>NC_000006.12:155070790-155222305 GCF_000001405.40 Homo sapiens | reverse complement strand
CTCCGAGTGTACCCCATGTCGAGGTGGCTTCCCCAAAGAATAGGCAAGAACAGGCCGGGTGTGGTGGCTCACGCCTGTAATCCCAACACTTTGGGAGGCTGAAGAGTGTGGATCACCTGAGGTCAGGAGTTTGAGACCAGCCTGGCTAACATAGTGAAACCCCGTCTCTAGTAAAAATACAAAAATTAGCTGGGCATGGTGGCGTGCACCTGTGGTCCCAGGTACTGAGGAGGCTGAGGCATAAGAATTGCTTGAACCCGGGAGGCAGAGGCTACAGTGAACCAAGATCGCGCCACTGCACTCCAGCCTGGGCAACAAAGTGAGACTCCCTCTCAAAAAAACAAAAATAAATAAATAAATAAGAAGAAGAATAGGCAAGAACCTGCAAATGGTATTTACACTGAGGCTAGTTTGGCCTGAGAAATCAAACTTCCTGCTTTCTTCTCCCACAGAAAGCAAAATTATATCAAGGTCTCCATAGCTCCATCTCTAATTCAGAAGCCCAGAAAGGAAATAAAGATCTGGAAATAGAGGGCTGAGGGGCATGGAGAGGGAAGATGGAAGAAAGAGGACAGACATGGGACACTTGCCGTTCAACCCCATCTTCACTGTCATCCAGGTGGACAAAATTAAAGGGGAGACCTCAAGCAGCTCTGGCAAGAGGTCCCTTACGACCACCTAAGTTGCAGGGAGCTGGCTGATGACTCCTTGAACTTGGCTTTCTGTTTGCCTTGAAAAGGTCAAACATATCCCACTTCAAGTGTCATCTCAGACAGGATGAGAGCAAAACCATGGCACCCGCTGTTTCAATGGAGAGAAAAAGGAGAAGCCTGTATCAGAAATAAACGTGGCAAATAAAGCATTAGGTGAAGATCAGCATCTCTGCTCAGTCAAATCTTTGTGTGGCCTCAGCTCTGAGTAGTCTCCAAGTCACTTTCCTGTGCATCACTGTCCCAGCAGGATGAGGAACGGGAGTGTCATTATCTCTTCAGCAAGTTAATTTCAGAGCCAGCATTCCACCTGACAGGCCCTGATCCTCCAGCCCACCCCAGCGCAGTGATTCACACTGCAGCTCTCACAGCGCTGCTCTCTAAAACTTCTCTTTTTTACTTCTTTATTTTGTGATTCTGAAGATGACTCTGAATAATAACTTGTGTTTTTTTTTGTTTTTTTTTTTTTCAAAAAAAAAAAAAAACAAGATGAAAGAGAAAAGTCTGGAAAAGAAGAAAGCAGGGACAGAGGAAGGCAGGTAGGAAAGTACTGTGGCACAGAAAACAGCAGGGGAAAGAACCAAACACCACATGTCTCGTAAGTGGAAGCTGAACAATGAGAACCATGGACACAGGGAGGGGAACATCACACACCGGGGCCTGTAGTGGAGGTGGGGAGCTAGGAGACGGATAGCGTCAGGAGAAATACCTAAGGTAGATGATGGGTTGATGGGTGCAGCAAACCAGCGTGGCACATGTATACCTATGTAACAAACCTGCACATTCTGCACATGTATCCCAGAACTTAAAGTATAATAATAATTTTAAAAAGAGGTAAGACACGCTTGATTATTTTCTATAACTTCAAGTTTAAAACGATGTCTTCTTTTTGTCCCTAGTTTGTAATGCAAATCCCTATTTTTTCATTAAACTCTTCTCTGCCAAAAAAAAAGAGGCTGGGAAGCCAGTTGTGCTGACGAAAGTGCCTCAGTGATCCAAAGACAGAAAGGAAAGGGGAAGAAGGGCAATTGGTGACCTCCCTGCATCCTTCCAACCTCACTGTGTGCTAGGTGCCATCATCCTTACTTTCCAGATCAGGATCAGGAGACACAAGCACTGGTGGGGCCAGGCTGGCCCAGGGCTCCTGGGGTTCTTACTGTGCAGCCCGCCAGGCCTCCAGACCAGCCTCGCCAGGCTCAAGTCCCCCTGCCTTGCATGATACTCTGCTCCTAGACATACGTGTATTCCATGTTTAATAGAGAAAACACAGGCCCTCTGCCACAGCTGCAGGCAGACTCTGAGCCCCAGCCAAAGTCTCGTTCAATAACTCAACACCCCATGTCTGAGTTTTAAAAGCCTGCCTGGCAAAGGCACAGCCAGCTGAGGACTCATCAGGCAACTTCCTGTTGCTGGCAATTTCTCTTTGGCCCCAGTTAGCCCACAGCACAGACCATGCCAACAGCCCCACTGCCCACTTTTTAGTTTGCCTCTGTCCAAGGACCCACTTGGCAGGAGGAATCAGCCCAGCTGACGGGAAGGGCCAGTTGCAAGAAATGGCGAGAAAGGTCACCAGCAAGTTTCTTCCCACTGCCTTCCTGCCACGCTCTGTTGTTCATCCCTCTCTACAGGACAAGCTCTCCATTGCCAAAGGGCCTTCCAGGCAGCCACTTGCTTGGAACGCTGTCTTTTGGATTCTCAATACCACTCTTTTTTTTTTTCCTGTTTTTCCTGTTGACACGTAAGTGACATTGCCAACCCTGTTGAACAGAGCGTGTAAGTTATCCCTGGCAAAGAAAAGAACAGGTCTCTGTGTGCTTTATGCCACAGTAATGTCTTCTATAGCCACCGTCTTCCTGCCACACCCAGCAAGGGGTTGGCATCTGCCTGACACATCCACCCTAATGACCAAGGATAGACCAAGAAGAGCAGGGCACAAATACTCTGGAGCACGGAAAATAGGAAATTTTTTAAAAAAAAATCCAACTCACTACAAAGAGATCAAATGGCCTTTGAGACTCCAACAAAAACAGCACAGTCATTTCAAACAAGTCCACAAACTTGCCTCCAAGTCTCTGCCAAGGAAGTGTGGCGTTAGAGAGGCAGAATAAGGCATATGGGCTGGTGCCACACTCCGCCCAACTCTGACCCCTGGTGATCTGTGTCCTTGCCGCCTCTCTTCCAGGAGGGGCAAAGTCTGCAAGCCCTCCTCGGCTGGCAGAGCCGCTCAGGCTTCACTAAGCATCTCGGTGTTCACAGCCTACTCCTGCTAAAGGGAAAGGCAGATCTAACATACACTATTTTTATTTGGTCACTTGAAGCAACCCTTTGGAAAAGCTCATCCATTTACAACACTATACATTAAAAAAAAGCAGCTACACGGTGAGCAGACTTTGTCTCCATGCAGACAACAAAGAGGACCCAATTCTTACAGCTTTCGGTTTCTAGTTCATTTTCATCTCATGGGACGGTTCGGGAGAAGTTGACCACTGACACTAACTTCGAGAATATAGGTGGGCAGCTGAGATGGTCAAGAACACGGGTGGGCGGCTGAGATGGTCAAGAACACGGGTGGGCGGCTGAGATGGTCAAGAACACGGCTGAGATGGTCAAGAACACGGGTGGGCGGCTGAGATGGTCAAGAACACGGGTGGGCGGCTGAGATGGTCAAGAACACGGCTGAGATGGTCAAGAACACGGGTGGGCGGCTGAGATGGTCAAGAACACGGGTGGGCGGCTGAGATGGTCGAGAACACGGGTGGATGGCTGAGATGGTCAAGAACACGGGTGGGCAGCTGAGATGGTCAAAGCATGCACGTCTTACTTTCAACAGCATTTTATTGAGGTGCTCATCTATTTGTTCAGTTTCCTACCTGACATCGAATCTCAGCTCAAGAGGCCATTAGGTGAGCAACAGGGAAAACCTTCACACACACACGTATACATGGGAGACGCACCAGGAAGGGGCAGCTTACAGCCTAATCCTCTCTCCCCTGCTTCCAGTGCTCCTAGTTGGACATAATCTCACGTGATTCCTTTGACAACACTGGGTTGGTGGTGGTGTTATGTTTATTCATAGAGGAGGACACACAGGCTTACAAAGGTTGGGTAACTTGCCCCAGGTCACATAATGATAAGGCATGGTGGATGGGAATACAAATTCAGGTTTAAGCATCAGGTCGAGTTCTTTCCAACATACCACTGCCTCCAAGAAAGGGCTACCTGGAATTAGGTCTTTGTGACAGATTATTGTCTTCCTGCTGGAGACTGCCACACCCCAAACCATTTTTCAGGGACAAAGCGTTTGCCTTGAGGAGGCCATCTCTCCGTGCATTAAAATAGGAATTTAGTCACATAACTTGCATTTAGAAATAGGCATGTTTGGTTTTAAGAAAAGGATCATGATTCTATTCATCTATTGAATAGCAACCATGGAGAAAGACTACGGTTTATAAATAAGTTATCTTTTAGCTTGACTGCCTAACAAAAACATAACCAAAAAGATCTTGCAATAATGCAGGCAAGTATACACCAAAGGAAGACGAAAACTCCAAGAATGCTGGAAAGCAAATCATGTGGTCCAATAATTTTTTCTTTTCCTTCAGCTTCTTAGATAGGCAAGCTCTTAAAAGCAATTCATGTGACAAAAAAAAACTCAAAAGGTTAAGCCAAGTGGGTGAGCAGAAATTAAATACTAAATGCAAGTTTTGTTCACGCTGTACACTAAAAACCATAGCCACTAGTGCACGTTCTTTTTTTTCTGCCTAGAAAAAATAAACAGGACAAAATATATCAATTATATCTTAAACAAGATTAAATTGCAAAGAGCACAACACACAGTTGTCACGCTGTGTATCTCCAGATTCTCAATGCTCTCTGTTCTATCAACACAACGCCTACAAACGGCAAAAATAATCCCTGCCAAAGCGACACTAGGTGATTACATAAAATTCTTCCACAAAGCCGAAAAATTATTTCATCAAGAATAACTAAATTAAAAACTCTGCTTACCTTGTAGAAAATGGGTTTCATGTTTGTGAATTTTCTTTTACAGTATTAAACCCAATATAAGTATTAATATGTGCTATACTCCAAGGAAATTTTACAAGCATACAATTAATTGCTATATTCAAATTATTCCTCCCTGTCTTTTCAAGCATATTTTGTAGAGTAAATATTTGCCTAGGCCTTTCTGATATCTTTATATTTCAAAAAGAAAGAACTATTTCGGAGATGAAGTTAAAGATTTTGGAATGAGAAAGGAACAGTGACAGCGCCACAGAACGGGTATCCAAAAGAAGTTCTCTTATCCTTAGCTGTAAAAAGCATGTAAAGATCACTGTCAGAATCCCTTCTGGGGAGAAAGGCATCTCTTCTCATCTGCATATCA
The DNA here is from genome assembly GCF_000001405.40 of Homo sapiens. Classification (NCBI taxonomy): domain Eukaryota; kingdom Metazoa; phylum Chordata; class Mammalia; order Primates; family Hominidae; genus Homo; species Homo sapiens. Next base: position 155,217,208 of record NC_000006.12, on the reverse strand, counting down.
GTCTTTAGACATTTTTAGAGCAAAATCAACTTTCAATCAAGAAAAGGAAACCGTGCAAGCATGCCTACATTTGGATCAAAATCTTTACCCATGAAAATCAAAGCCCTTGTTTACTTACATGCTGTACATAAAAAGGAAAAGTTCAAAGAAACCTGCTCCCTCTGGGAGAACGGATCACATCTAAGTCGGCTGTTGGGAGATGTGTAAGACACACGTTGTCTCTCCCTCTCATCCCCAGGCAATGAAAAAAATCCCAAACTGCTCTTCCAAGTCACATTCACAAGGACGTCCTAGCGCCACCAAGCTCTTCCTCCACAGCAGCACCGGTGATTGGGGGAAGCTGGCCCCCTGCTCTGTTTCCACCCATGCCGGGAGCCTGCCTGCTCTAGAAAGGCACCGGGTTACCACAGACGTGGAGACAATGGGACCACAGAGGGCCACGTCTCCTGAGCCTCAGAGCCAGCTCAGCAGGTGGAGTGCAGGCAGCATGTCTGTGGGGACTGCTTAATATACCTTAAGTTCCCAGAACAAACCAAAAACTCTTTCAACCTCCTCACCCAAAGGGACATTGTATATTTCTTTCAAACTCCAAACTATTACAATAGCACATGCTAATTGCTAACAATACTGGGGAAAAAAATCCCCCCCTACAGGAGAGGCTGACAGGGTCACACAAAGAGCTATGACAGTAATAGGCACCCTTACAGAGAAGAAGCCAATCAATTAGGAACCATTTGCAGAAATTGCGGGGCTGTCAAAAGCCCTGGGTACAGCTGTGCTTCATCAAACCAGGCTTCATTTGATTTTCAAGGGAAATTATTCTTTATTCTAATGTCTAGAATAGTTGTTAGTAAAATATCCCCAACAGCCCAGGTTCAACCAGGGTCTAATCTGAAAAGAAGTTAATGACCCCTGAGAAGACCAGTTGGGCTAGGGCAGGAAGCCCAGAAAACAGAGGCAGATCTTCTCCCTGAGAAGAGACCACCTTCTGAGGACATGGCACAGGGGGTGGGGCGGGGGGAGTCCCAAAAAATCCACTCCCAGCACACACTAGGCATTCACCAGACACCTCCCACATCACCACTTCAAAAATAGAAGAGGACTGGGTACGGTGACTCACACCTGTAATCCCAGCACATTGGGAGGCTGAGGCGGGAGTATTGCTCCAGCCCAGGAGTTTGAGACCAGACTGGGCAACACAGTGAGACCTAGTCTCTACAAAAAATAAACAAAATTATCCGGGCATGGTGGCAGGCACCTGTGGTCCCAGCTACTTAGGAGGCTGAGGTGGGAGGATCATTTGAGCCCAGGAGGTCAAGGCAGCAGTGAGTCGAGATCACACCACTGCACTCCAGGCTGCACAACAGGGTGAGAACTTGTCTCAAAAAAATAAAATAAAACAAAATTTAAAACAATAAAAAAAAAATCCAGAAGAGGATTGCTTTAGATATAACACGATGTTTCCAAAAAAAAAAAAAAAATTTAAAATTTTTTTTTAAAAAAACCACGGAACAGAAAAAAAAATGTGATCCTTAAATTTGAAATTTTCTTTTTCTTTTCACTAATGTCCACCACAGTTTTTACTTTTGGTGGCCACTGATTCTTCTTTCCCAAGAAACAAAGAACAGGGAAACTGAGTAACTGCTAGGTATTTACCAAAGATTTTAAAAAATGCACTGAAATCTATCATTATACATGGAAATCTTCATATCTTAAAAAGGTAAGGTGATAACTACGTTAGACTTGAGAGGGATTTTACAGCAAATGCTTAACATGCTCATATTCTTTCAATAAAATTTTTTCTTCTGTGTTCGTTGATGTTATTATTTGCTTTCTCCTTTCTCCACTTTTAACAATGAAAATTGAAGCTCAGACGGCCCCAATTTCAACCTGATTGCAGCTTTCTCTCCTCTTCTAAATTTCTGATGCTCCAATGTTCACTTTGTAAATGTTTTGCTTAGTTACCATAGGCATTGTTAAATAACAGAGTTGGCAATGGCCTTAACGTGCTAACTTTTTGCATATCTATTTTGCTGAATCTTAAGATAAACTTTGGGAAAAAATTCAATTTCCTTCTTAAGAGCTCTGATGTGTAACTCAAGCAGATCATAAGAGACGAGAAGTCGTTATCCCTCACGGTGTTAAGTGAGAGTCCCCCAAGCTACCATCCTGTGCCAGGGCCCCCACAGGCACACTTAACTTTTAAATACATGGCCTTGCTCTATCAGTGTTTCAGGAGGATTTGATTTTCTAAAAAATTTTAAGTCAGGCCAGGCACAGTGACTCACACCTGTAATTCCAGTACTTCAGGAGGCCGGGGCAGTAGGATCTCTTGAGCCCAGGAGTTTGAGACCAGCCTCAGCAACATAGTGAGACCCCATATCTATTGTATTATTAAAATAAGATTTAAAAATAATTTAAGACAAGGCTATCAAAACACATCTATTTGATGCTCTAGGATCCACTGCTTCATTAAAAAGCTAATGAACATTAGATATGATATTGGGTTCCCAAAATTAAATAACCCACTAGAGATAGAACAAAGTAGAAGGACTAAAAATGCTGATGAATTTCAGTTTTGTAAAATAACTTGCATCCTGGGACATAACCAGGCCAGCGAAGGCAGCTGAGCATTTGCTTTGCATGAGGAATGAGGAGGAGAGGGAGGAGAAATTTGGAAGAAGGTGCATGGAAAACGGGAGAAGAGAGCAGGTAGTGAGGAAGTGAAAGGGAGAAGAGAGGGGAGGCTGAGAGCCCATAGCTGCTTCATCAAACCAGCTGCTTCGGAACCAGAAGCATCCGTTCTGAAGCTGGCAGGCTCTAACCTGGTCCCTCACACACAGGGGATGTCACCAACCCCCAAAAGGTATGCCACATGGTTCCTCCAAAGGATGTGCCATGTGCCTGGCTCCTGGTGGTCTTGATGGCAGCGGTGGCCCATCTGGAACAGTCACTGCGATGATGCCGGCTGCACCGGGGGAGGCACGGCCAGCGCTGTGCGTTCCATGGAGCCAGCAGGAGCTGAGAATGTGGAAGCCCCACCCAATCCTGAAGTGGCAGGGCGGGAGCCTCGTGCTCCTCGGGCACAGCTGTGACTGCCCAGCCGTGGCTTCTGACCCAGACATCCCTGTGTTCTTGGGGGCCAGGAGCAGGAAGGAGCCCCGCCCTCCCGGGTACTGCTGCAGCCACGTAGCCGCGACTGTGGACCCAGACATCTCTGCACTCTCAGGGGCCTAGGAAGGACCCATTGCCCCCACAGGCTCGAAAGTAGCCTGCTCCCACTGCCTGGTTTCTCCCTACTCCTGGTGCCCGCTCTGCTCTTGGAGCAAAGTTGAGTCCAAGCCCAGGCACTGCTGCAACCCAGCCATGTGTGGACACGTTCAGGGCAGCGCTGACATGCCAGCCCCCTGCTGTACTTTGGGCACCAATGAGCATGGGAGGCAGGCCAAGGAGGGGACTGAGGGCAGCTCGGCCCTGGCCTGCAGGCACCCTTTGGCACAAACAGCCTGGGCACCAGGAAGAGTGGCAGGACGCAGACAGGCTCCTGGGTGGAAAGGAGTGGGTCCCCAGAAAAGCCCCACTTTCAAGCCGGGGAAGGCCTGAAGTCTGGGGGCTGGGCTGCCAGTCCCACAGACCAGAGTGGGAACTTATGGAGCTTTTTCTGGGTCTGCTCATGGCCACTATGGACCAATCAGTGCACATTTCCACCCCTCTGAGCCCTGGACTCAGCCAGACTCAAAGAGACAATGAGACAACCAGCTGAGGAGAGGAGCTACTCCAGGGTCTCCTCTCTGCTTAAAGCTAAGCAGACATTAGTACTACCAGCTGTGGAGAGGAGCTACCCACTCCAGGGTCTGCTCTCTGCTGAGAGGTGAACACTCTATGGGACAACCAGCCTGCAGAGAGAAGCTACCCACTGTGGGTTTCCTCTGAGCTGTTCTACAGCTCAATAAAGCTCCTCTTCACCTTGCTCACCCTCCCCTTGCCCGCATACCTCCTTCTTCCTGGTCATGGGACAAGAATTCGGGACCTGCCTAACGGCAGGGCTGAAAGAGCTACAACACAAACAGGGCCAAAACACGCCCCTTGCTCGCCACATTACAGGTGACAAGGAGAGAAAAGAGGAGGAGAGAAGAGCTGCAGCCCTTCAGGGAGCCCAGACCTAGGAGTTCCCAGAACCAGGGCTATGCCACCCTCTTTGGGGCTCAGCGGTTCCTGGCATCTCCAAGCTTCCAGGTACTGATGCAGGCCATGGAAACTGCTTGTAATATGTGTGATCCAGCCGTAGCTTCACAGGGAACCGGCGCCCGTGCTAGAGCCTGCAGCTGCTGCCTGCCCCACCACAGCCAGCATTCCTGCCTGTGTGTGGTGGCCAGACCCCACACGTGCTCACTGACACACCCTTCACCACTGCGCTCACTGACACACCCCTCACCACTCTGCTCACTCTTGGCAGGCATGGGATGCAGGCCAGTAGTGCAAGTTGAGCACAGCCTGCCAGGTCGAGTGGGCCGAGTGGGCCTAGTGGGCCCGAGCAAAACTTGGGCAAAAGCACCCTTGGCCACAGAGGTTTCCGGCTGGTGAAGTGATACCCCAAGAATCTTGTGATAGTGTTAGTCTAAACCCAACCGAGCCATCGTTCCACTTTATAACTTTCATTTAAATGCCTATCATTGCTTCTATTTCTTCCATTCTTATTTTGTATTTAAGACAAAAACAAATACAGAAGACTTATAATTTCAAAATCGATTAAAACTGGACTGGATATTAACACAGATTATGTCAATCAGACCATTTCTGAAAGGGTAGCTGACAACAAACAGTTAAAAATGCAGGAAAGGAATGGAATGTAACAAATGCTGCCAAGGATGTGGATGAAGTAGAAGCCTCCTGCATTGCCGCTGGGAATGTCAAATAGTGCAGCATTGTGGGAGACCATGGGCTGTTCCTCAAAAAGCTAAACAGAGAATCACCACATGACCTGGCAATTCCACTCCTTGGCCTGAAAACAAGGATTCACGCAGATAACTCTTACACCAACATTCACTCCAGCATTATCCACAACAGCAGCAATAATCCAAGTGTCTATCAACAGATGAATGAATAAACAAAATGTGGTGTATCCGTATAATGGAATATTACTCAGCCATAAAAAAGAATGAAAGTCTGACACATGCCACAACCTGGATTAACCCAGAAGACATATGTTAAGTGAAATAAGCCAGAAACAAAAGGACAAATATTGTGATTCCACCAATATATGGGGCACCTAGAAATTGGCAAATGAGACAGAAAGTGGAATAGAAGTTATGAGGGAGTTGAAAGCAGGGGAAATAGAGAGTTATTGTTTAAGGGGTACAGAGTTTCTGTCTGGAATGATGAAAAAGTTCTAGATGGTGGTGGTGGTTGCAAACCAATGTGAATATACTTAATGCCACAGAGAGGCATACACTTGAAAATAGTAAAAAAGGCATATTTTATGTTATATACGTTTTATCACACAAAATGACAACATTCCAAAAATAATTTATCTTCAGCCAAAAAAAAAAAAGTAAGAAAGAAAGAGATTAGTAATTAACACCTTTTGACAAGGTTTTCCTTGTCAAAATTGCTAAGCAAAGCCAGCACAATATATGAACAGCAGAGTGTGCACTGCTCTTTGATGGCATACCAGAAGTCATGGAGGAGTTCTGGCTAGAGCAAATGGTTCCGATTAGTAGTACTTCACTTCAAAAAAATACATAAATAAGGAAGCTGTATCCTTAACATATATATGTATGTTTGTATCAACTGCTGGACCTAGAGATAGGTAACTCCATCTCCTTTCCCCACCTTAGGTAAAGGTGGGAACTAACACTCGCCTGCCTGGTTCTTGGTTTGCGATTTGGGCCAGTATCTTACCCTGAATGTCTGCTCCATTTTCTCCCTGTGGGAAACCTGATCCAGAGTGCCATCTGTCTGACTCCTTTTCAGACCTGTTGTGATATCAGGGACGTTGCTGAAATCTGCATAAAAAATGACAAAAACATATATGAGTTTGGCCATTTGCAGAGAATAATAACACCCGGTTTAAAGGCTCACATGGAGAAAGGAAAGAAGAAAACAACCTAGGAGGCAGTACAGAGCAGTCCTGAATGACACTGAGGTTACAATTACGCATACAGATGGGCTTCTGAAACAGATCTAGGGTCTTGCTAATTGAAAAGGCAACATCTGCCTGTTTTGGTCGAAAGAGACCAATCAAAATAATGACCTAAATACCTTGTCACTCTTCTCGTTGTTGTGTGAACTATGCTCCCCTAAGCTCTGGTCTTAACTAATTTATTTGGACCTACAATCAAACAGCAACAACTTTGTTGGTATTTCCCTGTTTTTGGCTAAGTGAAGGCAAAATTACCAGGGAATCTTGGAAACCAATGATGGAATATTATACTTATTCCAATCTACAACTTGCTCATTTACAAGCATGTTTCTTGTGCTGGCATCAACCACAATTTCATCCTAACTTGAAAGTCCCAAGAGGATCAGTAAACCCTTATTAACTTCCAGAGTAAAGGCTAAGAAATAATATGGGCCAGGTGTGGTGGCTCATGCCCGTAATCTCAGGCCTGTGGGAGGCCAAGGCGAGAGAATCACTTAAGACCAGGAGTTCGAGACCACCCTGGGCAACATAGTGAGACTACATAGTGTCTCTACGAGAAATTGAAAAAAAAAAACACACACACAATCAGGCATGGTGGTATGCGGCTATAATCCCAGCTACTTGGACGGCTGAGGCAGGAGGATGGCTTGAGCCCAGGAGTTTGAGGCGGCAGTGAGCAGTAATCGTGCCACTGCAATCCAGCCTGGATGACAGAATGAGACCCTATCAAGAAAGGAAAGAAAAAGAAAGAGGAGGGGAAGGAAGGGGAGGGGGTAATAATTAAAATATAAAAATAATAAAAATGAAAATTTAAAATTTAAGTAAATTAAAAATTAAAACATTAAAAAATTTAAATAATATGAAATAAGTAGAACACATAGTTTTCCAGCCTACAACTGGAAGCACACATCCCATCCTCAGCACTCTTCTCCAATAGAGACAGAAAGACCAGCCTCTATCAAAACATAACACAAGTTTTCATTGTAATTCTTGTATTTGATAGAATGTCCCCTCAACTAGGTGAAACCAGATGGTTTCTGATCCCAGTTAGGTACAACAAGAAATCAATCTGAGCTGATCTAGGCCCAAGAGGCTTGGATAGACTTGCAAACAAAGAAACTGCCCAGCATGATGGGGGCAGGGAAGATGGTTTCTGGAGAACCTTTAGAAGCTAGGGGAACCCCTGGAGGTTGGGACAGCTGGGAGACAAGAATGCCAGTAGCTGGTTCATGCTGATATTACCAACCACTACACAGGCACTCACTTCTAAGATAGGGGAAGGCCTCCGGAAAACATATAATGATCTACAGAATTCTGCAGCTCCAATTTTTTTCTTCCATTACCTCTTCCGACACCCTAATCTCATCCAGGTAAGGACCAGACAGATAATCTCGGTCATACCTCACTGTTGTTGGTTGCAGAGTTAACTTAGCCTAGGGAAGGCAGTGCTGACCCGAAAGGCATGAAGGGTCCCTGGGGAAATTTTGAGTAGCCATGACAAGCAAGCAGACTTGGGCCTGCCTCCTCTAGTCCCCTAATGCCACAACACAGAGGCAGTCCCCTCACCAACAAGCTAACTGCACGGGAAGTAAGATGAGACCCTCAACCACAAGTGACCCACTGCTGTCCTTTAAGACTGCCTCCTTTCTCTGATGTGTATACCTTGGCTTAAGGGAGACCAATCTAGGTAAGTCACAAAAGAACAGCAGCCCTCAATCCTACTGTATCCAGCCTAAGTGTATCTCCCCGTTCATGCGCTCAACACATACTTCTTGAGTAGCAGCTGTTTTCCAGGCACGGTGCTAGGAGCTGGGGATGCAAAAAGGAGTGAAATGCTCTCGCGGGCTGCTTCTAATCTGGGGAGAGGCAGTTGGTGAGGGAGGGGGAGGCAGAGAGATGAGTGCAACCAAGGGTCACAGATGATATGAGGAAAGCCCACAGGCTGCTGAGTGGGGACACTCAGGAAGCAAGTTAATTCTCCCTGGGCCCTTAAAACACTTCAAAGGAGAGCAGACACTTGAGCAAAGCCTTTATGTCGAAGGAATATTTATTTGACTTTCAAGCTGAAGATGACAAGGCGGGGTGGGCAGCGGGGAGAGGGGATTCCAGGACTGGAAGTGTCCTGAGTAAAGGCCAATGCTAGGAGGAGCCGGGCACCATCAGGGAACTTGCCGAGTGTGGCTGCACAGAGTGGGGCAGAGATGGAAGAGTGTCCTCGATGGACGGATGGATGGAGGACAAGAAAGTCACAGTGACATCACAGGTACAAGGTGTAAGGACCAGAAGATCACAGAAGAGAGCAACAGAAAAAAGGGATGGTTGAGCATTTGAGGAGGTAGATTCTACGGGTCCCCTCTTTGTCACTTATTAAATATAAGAAGATACAGAAAAGAGAGGCATCGAGGGAGACGCCTGGTTTCTATGTCCTAGGTGACTGGGTAGATGGGGAATGCGGCAAGGGGAGAAGTGGGGATAACAAGCTTAGCTTCTGCAATGCTGAGTCTGAGACACATGTGGGCCATGCAGTGGGAGATTTTCAGTGGTCGGGGAGTCCAGAGTCCAAAGCCCAGAAAGGCCTTCACAGAGACATGGATTTGGAAGTCATCAGACTATCACTCCATAGCAGTGAAGCCAAGGGGGTGGATGACATCAAGAGGACCGAGGAGAGAACCATGGAAACATCAGTGCATAAGGGTACAGGAGGGGGTGATTCTCAAGAGAGGTACCTTTCTTTTCATAGAGAATTTAAAAAGAAGTATAAGGCCGTCAAAAAAGAGTCATGTCACAGAAGCCATACAATGTAAAAGTGCATTACCTAGGTTACAGAATCAAATTTGCATTAGTGCTGCCTTTACCTTGTAAATAAGAAGACTTGGTATTTCCAAAGAGTTACATCAAGTACAGGAAATAGGACATATGATCCACATGCACATTCACTGATGATGGGGATTTCACAGCCCCTGCTGTACATCAGGCATGTTCTAAGTACTAGGGATACAAAGATGAACAAGACCTTGAGTCCCACCAAGAACTCAGCTGTGGCAAGGGCATAAGGAGCTTTGGAGCCCAAGATGCCAGATGGATGCTAGTGAAAATATAGCATGGCTGATGTCAAAAGCGGGTGCCAAGTGAATCCTGAGTCATCTGAGTCAATCTCTTCAAAGATTTTGGAACTTAAACACTGAAAACTCCCCGAACCACTGTTCGCTTCTTATAAAAGAGACAAGGAGGTACTCATTCACTTAGGGAAGAAGAGATTCGTTTCAGGTAAGCATGAGAAAGGGGGCAACGTGTACCTGGTAAGAGAATACTGACCCCTTCCTGTCAGAACCCTGCTCACTCCAGGATAAAGGCTTAGCTTTGAATCAGTGAGGCTCCCTTAGGCCCCCTAGAGCCCCTTAACTTCAAGGAAACTTTGGGTGCCACCGGATTTTCTCTGAGGCACAGGCTTGGATAGGATGGCCCAAAGGAACCAGCTCCCACTGAGGCTGGCCCTGGGGATCTGAGAAGAGAAGGCAGCTGTGGACAGTTCCTGAGATCCGCCAAGACAGGAAATCTCAGCGGTGTTCTACTGCCCAAGTTTCCCCCAGGTGGAATGCATCTGTGCATACAGAGTCCCTGCAGCCACCAGCAATGTGCCAACACTGTCCTGGACATGACGGAGCACAGGAGAATCCGAGCTGGACAGTGTCCACAGCTGCCATCCCCAGCTCTGGGAGCCTCCAATTTCACCAGGACCTGTATCCCCGTAAAAGGAGGGTGCCCTTAGTGCTCTTTATAGAAGAGACATGAGATAAAAGTACATTCTGGAAGAATAGAAGACTGGCTTTAAAAAGAGTGGAGGCTGGTAAAATCCGAATGCTTATTTACAAAGCTGTTTGAAACAGGCATCCTGTCCTGGGTGCCAAATGCCTATACATAGCCCCCTTATATTCTGCCCACATCCTGAGCACCAGCTGCTAAAGGGAGTAAGTATATCCTGCCCCTCCCAGGCGAAAATCTGGCTTCCCACCTGGAAGAGCCTCATCAGGACATATACAGTGCAACATGTTTTAGGGGTTCTTTGTCCTTATCAGAGAGTAATAAGCACTTGCTTCCTGCCCACCCTGAACTCAGCATTGCACAGTACAGATGTTCAGACTCACTCCAGAAAAAGCCTCTGGCCAATATGACTGCAAATCAATTATAAATTCAAGTCAAGAGTTATCTATTTGTATCTGGTTAATATACCCTTTTGTCTTTCTCATCACATTTCTCGTGGAAATTAACAGTTTGGGGCAGAGGTCTAGCAATTTGAAAAAATCTAACATTTAGCACAGCCAACAAGAGCTTCTACTCAGCAGTTGAGCCAGCAGAGCTGCAATGTCCCAAGTTACAGTCTGGTCCCCTCAATTTGGATGTGTCATTTAATTTATTTACCCTTAATTCCCATGGGTGCCAGACACTGTGCATCCACCAAGTACAAGGTGCCACGGCCAGAGCAATCACGAGACCAGGCTCGGCCATCTCTCTCCTTTAATCAACATGCTGTGGGCTGGGCACAGTGGTTCACACCTGTAATCCCAGCACTTTAGGAGGCTGAGGGGGGCAGATCACGAGGTCAGGAGATCGAGACCATCCTGGCTAACATGGTGAAACCCCATCTCTACTAAAAATACAAAAAATTAGCCGGGCCTGGTGGTGGGTGCCTGTACCCCAGGCTGAGGCAGGAGAATCACTTGAACCCGGGAGGTGGAGGTTGCAGTGAGCTGAGATCACACCACTGCACTCCAGCCTGGGCGACAGAGCGAGATTCCATCTCAAAACAACAAAAAAACCATGCTGTGGACAAGGATGACAGTCCAGGCAGGCTACCACGGAAAATGCCTGCCTCCCTACACTTCCGCACAGCCTATAGCTCCTTACAGACAACTGGGGAACACATCTGGCTTTAGGTTTGAGACACCTGGTCATTCAGCTTCCTCCTGAACTGTGCGTCAGTACCTGGCCCATTAGCACCACTGTCAGCCAAGTCACTGGCAACCCCAGATCCTTTACAACGAAAGGGCAAAACATTTGTTAAAGGGACATCCTGGGTACCAACTTAAAAACAGAAATATCAGGAAATATTGAAGTTAAGGTTGTCTCACCCACACAGCTCGTAATCTGAATTCAAAATGTACAGTTACATCATTTCCAAATCCAACCTAGCACAGTTAATATGCAAACGTGTGGGTTTTGCCATTTCTTTTTCCTGTTGCCCAGAAAGCACCAATAGATCTAGGTGCTCACTGTGATAGGCTCAAGGGGGAATTCTTGGAAACGGGCAGCAATGGAAAGCTTGGGAGAAGGCCTGGCGTGCGTGGTGGTGTCCCTGCCAGCATCCCACCTGCAGCTTAATCCTAAGGAAGCCTGACTCTCCTCAGGCAGCTACGTATGGTTCATCTGGCTGATGCCATCCCATAATCCCAGTCTTGCTGGCAGCCTCCTCCCTACTCAACCAGGCAGCAAGAGACTAGGCAAGAAAGTTCTTTGTAGTCCCTGGACACCCACCAGGTGGCCGCCAGCAGACCCTGGAGACACCAGGCAGCTCCTGATTGTAAGGACAGGTAGGGAAGAGTTCCCCTGCCTTTCCAGCAGCCAGGATGGGGCCTCCTGAGGACAGACAACTGGTTCCTAGAAAAAGTGATCTAAGAACCACTCCACCCCAAAGTCTGAGAGTGCCTCCCCAGTTCTCCGGAACAGCAATTAAAGAGAAATTAAATTTAAAATTTCAACATGATATTAATCCATAGCCAAAAACAAGAAATGCAAAGTGACAGGAGAACATTTGTTTTCTCTTCTTAGGTACAAAGGTACAAGATGACTTTTTTTTTTTTTTTTTTTTTTTTTTTTTTTTTTTTTTAGAAATTAATAATGGTAGTTGCTATAGTTTGAATGTATCCCCCAGAATTCACATGTTGGAAACTTAATTCTCAATGCAATGGTGTTGGGAGGTAGACTTACTGGGAGGTGTTTAGGTCATGAGGGCTCTACCCATGACTCATGAATATTAATGCTATGATAAAAAGGGCTCTCAGGAGTGGCTCTGTTCTCTTCCACTGTTTACCCTTCCACCTTCAGCCACAATGAGGACGCAGCGTTCAAGGTGCCATCCTGGAATCAGAATCACCAAACCTAATGGCACCTTGACACTGGACTTCCCAGCCTCTAGGACTCTGAGCCTGTAAATTTGTTTTAAAATTACCCAGTGTGTGCTATTCTTTACAGGAGCACGAATGAACTAAGACAGCAGTCACCGCATCGGAAAAAGCCGTGCTTCAATATGCGGACTGAGGATTCATTTGAAATAGACTAAAAGTATCGGGCATGAGAATGAAAATTGTTTTTAAAATATGTTTTTCATGCTTCAAAGCATATATTATAGTACATTGATTTTTAATACTCTCATATCCAAAGGGTCCTTTTTGATAATATATACTTTTACTATCCTGAAATAAAAATCATTCTTAATATAATCTACCTTCATAGTTTCTCCAAAAGCAATATACTACCCTAAAAATAAGACAAAAAGAAAAATAAACGGAAAGTAATTTATAATTAAAAACTATGGTTTGAATACTTTGTTTGAATTATACTCCATATGTAAATGGCACCAGAACCTCTCCAGAAGCCGTGAGGAAGCTGTCAGCCACTGGCTCTACAGGCCTTGTCCCAAGCTTCACCAGAGACCAATGCCAGTGTGTCTTGGTGGTATGACCATCAGGGACATGATTTTCCAAAATGACAAAACTCTTGGCAAAGTTCTGAGCAAAACAAAGGATGTACTTCCTTTATTTATTGGGTTGCCATCTTCCCAGAAAATTCCAAGTACCTATAGCTGTGGGGAAAAAATAATTTGCATTTCTTTGTAAAATCGAGGTAATTCCTAGCTCAGATAATTATATGCATGTTTTTTAACCTCCATTAAGGTCCAGTCGAACAATGTGCAATGTATGGGATTAACGTGATCACTGCCGGATGTCCAGCAACCATGTCCCAACTACCAAACGTCACCATCCCTGGAATCATTATGATGACCAAAAACAGAAACACAAACTTCCAAAATGTCACCTGGTGGTCAGCGCCACCACCTCTGAGAATTGCCTCTGCCCCTCCCCGTGGCCAGGACCTCAACTTTACCTCTAAGAGAATCAAGTGGCATCAGAGGATGCAAAATGCATCCAACCCATAGCATTTTGCACCCTCTGAGTATTAGTTTCCCTCACTTCCCAAAGAAAGATAAAATATACTCACTAAAGCAATTAAAAATATAGCAGCCAAATAACAATGAAGTGTATTTCAGTGGGACTCTCATCTCAGGCTCAAAAAATGTTTTTAGTTGATTAAATCATTAATCCTTAGAAACCCCTTCTGATGTGAAAACTACAGAAGAATAATTTTCTAAGACTGAAAAAAATCTAAAAAATAATGTCAAAGTAGTTACAAGTGAATAATAAATGGTTTAATTAAGTTTTCAACTACATAATCCACTTTGGCATTAGAGTTACACGTCTCTGACATTTAATACTTACATTCTACTATCTACTGACATCCAGAAAAAATAACGTACTTTATTTGAATTATGCTATTAATCTATTTGATTTACTCAGTTTCCCTATTCAGTTTCTCAGAATTTATGCTATGCAATTCCATAAATGAAAAACTCGTAGAGAATCAAAGAATTTTAGATCAGAAAAGAAACTCAGAAATCACCCTATTCAATTCCTTCATTTTATGTATCTTTTGTTTTTTAAAAAAAGTACAAATGTAATTTTAAGAAAAGATTAAAATTTGGGTAAATCAAAGCTGCCAGCCTAGGCATAATAGCATTATGTAAATAGAAAATTAAGACTTTTTTTCAATTCTTCAAGCTTCACCCACTATTACAAAACTCTGCATTAATGCTCACAGCCAGTTCTCACAGTACAAACAGCACATTGAACATTTGCAAAGAAAATCTTTGCAAATCTTTCTCTTTTTTTTTTTTTTTTTTTTTTGAGACAGAGTTTTGCTCTGTCACCCAGGCTGGAGTGCAGTGGCGTGAACTCAGCTCACTGCGACCTCCGCCTCCCAGGTGTAATTCTCGTGCCTCAGCCTCCTGAGTAGCTGGAACTATGGGTGCATGCCACCACATCCGGCTAATTTTTTTTTTTTTTTTTTTTGTATTTTTAGTAGAGATGGGGTTTTGCCATGTTGGCCAGGATGGTCTCAAACTCCTAACCTCGAGTGATCCACCCACCTCAGCCTCCCAAAGTGCTGGGATTACAGGCGTGAGCTATGGCACCCAGCCAGAATCTCTCCTTTTAAATTTAACTTTGTGGCCAGTGAGGTGATTCATGCCTATAATCCGAGAACTTTGGGAGGCCAAGGCAGGAGGATTGCTTGCGGTCAGGAGTTCACAAGACCAGCCTGGGCAACATGGAAAGACTCCATCTCTATTAAAAAAAAAAAAAAAAAAAGTTATCCAGGTATGGTGGTGCACACCTGTAGTCCCAGCCACTCAGGAGGCTGAGGCAGGAGGATCACTTGAGCCCAGGAGGTAGAGGCTGCAGTGGCTTGTGATTGTGCCATTGCACTCCAGCCTAGGCGACAGAGTGAGACCTTGCTTTTAAAACAATTTCTTCTAAATAAATTTAAATTTGTAAACTTTGTATAGCAATGCATATTTTTAAGTAACACAGATTGTCCAAAATTTTACTCATACTTTTACTTTAAAATGCAGTGGTTTGTGCCACCTTTCACTAATGACATTAGCTGTACTGTGCCATCCAGGCAAATATTTCTGATCATCAGTCAGTGAAAGAGAATGAAAACAAAGCATTTAAATGAAATAATAGAAATAACTGAGAGGGAAAAAAAAAGTAACTCTTGAGTTGACCACATTCAAAGGTGAGTCAAGTCCCAAACTGCACCATTAACAAAGAGATCACCATTTATTATTACCTACTCTTAATATAGATAAAAATCAGTCTTCTCTTCTGACCATATCTGGGACTTTGCATTTTTTTTTATTGTTATGACTCATGTCAGGGAAATTCAAAGCAGCAGTCTGAATGTTATTGTTAAGCTTGCAAAGAAATAAATTCTATTATAGCACAAATACTGTGCTAGAAAGATTCATAAATCTTCCAAGTCCATTTAACCTGAGGTCACATTCCAATTGGTGATGTTTTTGACAATGCAAGCTAACACCGGCAATAAACAGAGAGCAGTAAAGTAAATGCTGGTAGTAAATGTTTCTTAATAGCAGGCTGCCAGGATCTGTTTCAATTGTCTTGTGATAAATGTCCTTAGAGTGGGAAAAAATACATAAAGGAACATGGCAGATGTTCTCACAGTAGAAAGGTGCTGCCAGCCACCTCCACACTGACTGCAATACTCCTTCTTAGAACAACGAAAAAGAGCGTTTAGATGTACCCATATCTTCCTTCGCCAGGCAGGCTATGGCAGTGACTGAGGCAGCGTGCTTAACCCAAAGAAAGAAGGTGCAGAGCCTCCCATGGGGTTTTATGAGCCCCAGTGAAAAATACACAGTCAATGACGAGAGAGATCTTCAGCCAAGGTCTTGGCACTGCAAGGAAACGGACACCCACTAGTACTGGGAGGACACCCCAATGCCACACTTACTTACCTTCAGGCATGTAACAGACAATACCGTACTTCAAACACTCCAAGAATTTTAATAAAGTTGAATTTAAGTTCAAAGCCCTTAGGAACTACTTAGCTGGAGTTCTATTTAAAGACTTTGAGAAGAAACCTAGACAAAAGTACACATGAGATTCTATTAGAGAAAGTTTCTACGGAAAAAAGAAAATTTGAGGACACTTTTCAGTAAGTGCTACGGTTCTCTTGGATTAAAAGAAGGCGAAATTGAATATTATTCAGCCATAAAAAGGAATGAAGAATTGATTCATACTACAACATGGATGAACCTTGAAAACATTATGCTAAGTGAAAGGAGCCAGACATGACAGGTTACACATTGTATTTTCATTTTTATATGAAATGCCCAGAATAGGCAAATCCATAGAAACAGAAAGTAGATTCATAGTTGCCAGGAGCGGGGGTTGGAGCGTGGAGGATAAGGAGTGACTTCTTTTTTTATTTTTATTTATTTATTGTTTATTTATTTTATTTTATTTTTGAGACAGAGTCTCGCTCTGTCACCAGGCTGGTGTGCAGTGGCACGATCTTGGCTCAATGCAACCTCTGCCTCCTGGGTTCAAGTGATTCTCCTGCCTCAGCCTCCCAAGTAGCTGAGACAACAGGTGTGCGCCACCATGCCCAGCTAATTTTTATATTTTTAGTAGAGACAGGGTTTCACCACATTGGCCAGGATGGTCTCGATCTCTTGACCTTGTGATCCGCCCACCTCAGCCTCCCAAAGTGCTGGGATTACAGGCGTGAGGGACTGACCCTGGCCTTGAAGAGTGACTTCTGATGGGTGTCAGGTTTCTTTTTTGAGGGAATAAAAATATTGTGGAATTAGACGGTAGTGATGGTTGCACAATTTTGTGAATATACTAAAAACCACTGAATGGTACACTGTAAAAGGTAAATTGTATAGTATGTTAATTCTATTCAATTTTTTAAAAAGAAGATAAGGAAGTCAGGGTAGATATTACAGGAGAGAAATTAGAATTAACAGCAAAACTCCACCATAAGAGGGTTCCAAAGAAACAAATCACAGGAAATATATGGCCACATGATTGCAAGGTTAATGAAAATCTGTATGAACCATCAAAAAAGGAACAAGAATAGATAGCGAAGCTATGACTGTAAATAACTGACCTTTCCCTGAACTGAGAAAGCCCCAGATGATCACAAGACCTTTCTGATCATCAGTCCCAACCCTCAGATAAGAATCCAGATGAGAAGACAAGGACTATCAGCAATCCGATCACATCTAAATTTGCTTTACTGCAAGGCAAATTATAACTGGGTTTTACTCTATGTATATTAATAGATAAATCTTTAAAAGGAAAAAAAAGCAGTTAAAATCCAGACATTTTTCCCTACATGGAAGGAAAAACAGGAAGACACAGTTCTATCTGTGTGTGCCACTGACTATGACCTTGTCCAAGCTACCAGAGGCTTGATGTGTCTCTATACCTTGATTTACCCAGCTGTGAAAGTAAAATGATAATAACACATCTCTGCTCCATCAGGGTGATGTGAGGGATAATTCATGTTTTTAAGGTTCTTTGTGAACTTTATATTGAGACAGCCTGCTATTATTAGGAAGCCTTAACAAACACGTTCTCTACCGCAGTCAAGACCTGACTCTATTTAAGGAGGGAATGGGACTGGCTGCAAAACCAAAATGGAATGTTTGATCCATTACTTTGCTTTTTTCGCTTCATAAAATTTTGGAGGAAATGTACACTCCTGTAGTTCTTATATTGTCACTTCAATCACGTTAAATACAAGAATTTCAGAGAGAGAAGGAAAAAATTTTAAACTATTTTGCCTCATCCCTTGTTTTAAGAGTCAAGAAAATAGTTATAGTAACCTGCCCATGGTCACAGACGAAAAAGCCAGGAACTAGAATCCATTTGAGACCTTATTTGAGACCCATAGTCTTTTACAAATGTTACTATCCCCAAATTAAAACACAACTCACTGTCACTATTGGCCTATACTGGTGATATAGAAGTTACTGTTCTCAGGCTGGGCACGGTGGCTCACACCTGTAATCCCAGCACTTTGGGAGGCCGAGGTAGGCAGATCACCTGAGGTCAGGAGTTCGAGACCAGCCTGGCCAACATGGTGAAACCCTGTCTCTATTTAAAAAATACAAAAATCATCTGGGTGTGGTGGTTTGTGCCTGTAGTCCCAGCTACTCAGGAGGCTGAGGCAGGAGAATCGCTTGAACCTGGGAGGCAGAGGTTGCAGTGAACCGAGATCGCACCATTTGCCTGGGTGACAAAGCGAGACTCTGTCTTAAAAACTTTTTTTGTAATTAAAAAAAAAAAATAAAGAAGTTACTGTCCTTTTTTAGTTGTGGTTTTGGTTTAGCTGGCAAATTAACTGTCATGGGCACCAATTAGCCCATTAAAATTGCAGAGCAGCACAGACGTGAGCCAGCAGCTAGGCTCCGTGGACTCCCAGGATATGCAGTAGGACTCCAGAGCTGGGGCATGTGGTTCTCCACCACCACAGCCATGGGCCATCCCAGGGTGCCCTCCACACATGTGCCACTGATGGAGACCTCGGCTCAAGAAAGTCTCGGCACCATTCCCTTGCATCAGATTTATAAAGAAGAAATCATGGAAGCCTCAAGATGTGTTCCAAGGATTCCTTTTATCCCCCATAATTCATTCTTAAGAACGTTGCCTTAACTTTCATTAAGAGATTTTTTTTTTTTTTTTTTTTTTTTGAGATTTGCTCTTGTTTGCTCTTGTTGTCTAGGCTGGAGTGCAGTGGCACGATCTCGGCTCACCACAACCTCTGCCTCCCGGGTTCAAGTGATTCCCCTGCCTCAGCCTTCCGAGTAGCTGGGATTACAGGCATACGCCACCATGCCTGGCTAATTTTGTATTTTTAGTAAAGATGGGGTTTCTCCATGTTGGTGAGGCTGGTCTCGAACTCCTGACCTCAGGTGATCCACCCGCCTCGGCTTCCCAAAGTGCTGGGATTACAGGCGTGAGCCACCACGCCCGGCCTCATTAAGAGATTTCTAACAACCTTCCTTTCACTCAATAGCTATTTACTCAATGCCTGCTATTTTTATCAAGAATTGTGCTGGCTGCTGTGTCTGAAACATCCTTTACACTCTTCAAAGTCCCTGTTTTCAAGGGATTGTCAGTAGTAGGTTAATTAGGACAGGCACACAGTGAGCGATATTGCAAGGCAACTTTCATATCAGCCATACAGACAAAATGCCTTCAGAGTTCAAAAGAGGAAGAGCCCAAGATTCCGCCAGTGTGACATGCAAGCAGCCCCACACTTCTCACAGACTACAATTGTAAAAGAGAAGCATGAAAGGTGAGTATTCAGGTTCTGTGAACTTCTACTCCCAGAGATCCCAAAAAATGATAAAACTTCTATTTGTGCTGCACCTTTTAAGTAGACCTAGCACATGTATTAATTTTCTCCTCTTTCCCCAGTGAACACATACTGACTTGCTCAGTGATATGGTTTGGCTGTGTTCCCACCCAAAGCTCATCTTGAATTGTAGTTCCCATAATCCCCACCTGTCCTGGGAGGGACCCGGTGGGAGGTAATTTAACCTTGGGCATGGTTACTTCCATGCTGTTCTGGTGACAGCGAGTTCAAACGAGATCTGATGGTTTCACAAGGGGCTTTCCCCCTTTTGGTCGGCCCTTCTGCTTGCCGCCGCCATGTGAAGAAGGACATGTTTGCTTCCCTTTCCACCATGATTGTAAGTTTTCTGAGGCCTCCCCAGCCCTGCAGAACTGTGAGTCAATTAAACCTCTTTCTTTTATAAATTACTCAGTCTCGGGTATGTCTGTATTAGCAGCATAAGAACAGACCAATACATTCAAGGTCAAAGAACATCCATATGGAGCTAATGTCTTGCTGGCTGGACACATGCGGTGACTGGCATTTCGGGGTCATGGGTAATTAAGCTTAGAAAAGCTAGGCTTCTTATCAACATTTTCAGCCCCCATTTTTCCTCAATCATTTGTATAAAATAATAATGACAAAATTCAATAAATGTTCAAATAATGTTGCTAATACTGCTATGCGAAGATGCCTAAACTTCACAAAAGAATGGCATGGCCATTCATCAACTGAAACATGAAAGACAGAATTAGATTCACAAATGGCAATTTAGGAGAAAATAACTAGTGTTTGGAAAGAAAAATGTTAAAATGTGGAGGATCACATGTCCTTTCATTCGGCAGTTTCCAAGTGCTTCACTGGGAAGTCCAGATTTGGCACAAGCCCACTGGGAGACTTCTGGAAGGAGGGGGCATCCTGCCACTCTAGAAACTGTGGAATAGCACCTGCTCACTCCCCAGGGCAGCTGGCCAGGGCTCCTAACAGAAGATACACAATAATTTTGTTAACAATTTCATGTGCTTTTTTCCAAATAACCTTCTCCAGAGCTACCAACAAGTAACAAAATGGGATAATTTGAACTTTGTCACATTTTCCCACGACATGTTAAAGATGTTAACAGCCATATGCAAGAAAGGATAACAGATAAATGGATTTATATGAGATTGGATAATTTATAAATAATCATAGCTGAGTATGGTAGGGCAGAAATAAATTTATAAGGTACAACAGATCAGAACTAAATTGTCTGAAATGAAAGGAACTGATGTGCTACAATTTGCATTTCAAAGCCTATTGATTTATTCTCCTATAAACAAATATGTGTTTGCCTTACACTATGAGTGGACATCTTTAAAGGGGTAATGTGTCACTCAAAGTTCCTCCCTTTCTCTTTATGTTGCTAATTTTGATGAATTTAATGGAATTTTATAGATAACGTTTTCATTGTAAATTCATTTACCATTTAGAGCATCTTCTAGGTAAGATTATTAAGATTCCCAATCATTGAGTAACTCCCGCTTCCCAACACCATCCAATCTAGAGGAAAGACCAATATGCCTTTTAAAATTTCCCCCCTTTCTCTTTCTGTTGCTAATTTTGATACCTCTTATGGAATTTTATAGATGAGTTTTCATTTCAAAACGGTTTTGGAAGCAGGTGAAATATTCAACATGAACAGAAGTTAAACACAAGGAGTTCCCAAACCAATTCCTCATCGTTCCCCAAAGCTGCTCCACACCCATCTTCCTATTTTAACTGATGGAAACTCCAACTTTCTGGATGCTCACGCCAAAACCTGGGGGTCACCTCTGATCCCTCTCCTTCCAGTCTCTGGGCGAGCTCTGTTGGCTCTACTGCCACTGCCACCACCCCAAGCAGACTCCACCCCCTCACCTCTCGCCTGGGTGACGGCAAAGCCTCTGTTGCACCACTGCCTCCTTCAGTCCATTTTCAGCAACACTCAGTGATCCTTACCAATCACTCGTCAGATCATGTCACTACTTCCCTGCTCCTCCTTCTCTGCAACGGCTTCTCCCTTCCCTCCAATAAATGGACCTCACAATGGTCTTTGAGGTCAGCCTGATCTGGCCTCACACTTCCTCTGGGCCTCACCTCTCACTGCTCTGCTCTTCCCTTGCCCTTCCAGGCACACCTGCCGAAAAACAGGCCACATCGGGGCACATGTGATTGTTCCCTCAGCCTAGAAGGCTTTGCCCCCTGACGGCCACGTGGCCCCATCCCTGACCTCCCACAAGCCTGTGCTCCTAGGTGTCCATTGTTCCCTGAGCACTACCGGCCTGCCCTATGCACAACTGCAACCAGCCTGGCCCCTACTCCCCATCCCTCCCACCCTGATCAATTTTTGTTCCGTCACACTTATCATCTGTGAATACATTATATAACTTATTAATTGTGAGGTTCCCGCTTACTCTGTATGTCCACACACTAAAATACAAGTAAGCTCCACGTGGGCAAGGATGCTTTTTTACCTGCTGTGTTCACTGTTTATCTCTAGCCCTCCTAGATCAATGCCTGACACAACAGGCAGTAACTAAATACTTGATAAACCAGAGAAAAGTAAAATGAGAGAAAAATATTTTTCTCCAGAGATCACTGGTTTCTCAGCTTGGCCTCAGTGTGATCTTCACAGGCGATGGGTACCTACCATGGGGTAAAAAAATGCAAATCTCATGTCATGGACCTAATTTATGTGCCTGAATTCAGGATTAAGTATAGAAGTTCATTTTCCACCTTGAAGGCAAAAACTTCTCAAATTATTTGCACCCGGATTCAATCTCAAGCTATAAACAAAGCCACAGCTCCCTTCTTAGTTACAAGTTTTATTTTGCACACCTTAAGCCTTAGAATCTTGTTGAAAAATAAAGTTAATGTTTGTATTAATCCATTCTCACACTGCTAATAAAGACATACCTGAGACTGGGTAATAGATAAAATAAAGAGGTTTCATTGACTCACAGTTCCGCAGGGCTGCGGAGGCCTCAGGAAACTTACAATCATGGTGGAAGGGGACGCAAACATGTCTTTCTTCACATGGTGGCAGCAAGAAGAATCAGTGCCCAGCAAAGGGGGAAGCCCCTTATAAAATGATCAGATCTAATGAGAACTCACTATCATGAGAACAGCATGGGGGAAACCGCCCCCATAATTCAATTACCTCTACCTGGTCCCTCCCATGACACATGGAGATTAAGGGAACTACAAGATGAGATTTGGGTGGGGACACAGCCAAATCATGTCAATGTTGAAATGTTTAAAGCGGAAGACCTGGGGTTTTCTTCTTTCTCATATTCTGAGTCTTGTTGTTCCTATATCCTCTACTCATTTGTTCAAATGTTCAAGCAAATATTTGTTGAATGACTCTACTTATGTGCCCAGTGATTTATTGGTGACAAATACAAGACAGAGTCCCTGTAAAGGAGGAGGACAGAGTATCTCCTCCTACCTATGTGCTCTGAGGGAGGGAAGGGCAGGGACTGCCTGCCATGCTGTGCCACCCACCTCTCAGCCCATTGGTGCCTGGCCACCCTTGGTCATCTCTTAGAGGACTAGCAGCAGCTGCAATGCCCTTCCCTGGCTGGCACCGGGGCTGCCTGTCTTTCTAACCTACAAATCTGACCCACCATACCCTGATCATCTTTTCCCTGTGGATCTTTACATCCAGGCTGCTCGCAGCTCCGTGGACCCTTTGTCACCTGGCCCTGCTCACCTGTCTCACCCTACCTTCTCCTCTTCCCCATTTGCACCTGAGTCTCCAACCATCTGAGTTACTCACACACCTCCCCACAGCTAGACAGCCCCGGCCTCCTCCCGGCTTCTCTGCGCCTGGAACGCTCTATGCCCCCTCATCTACCTTCTCATTCCCTAGGGGTTAACAAAGGTGAGACCCTCCCTGGAGAGTGGCCCTGATCAACCTGGAACATGAGTTTTCTGCTCCTCTGTGTTGCTGCTCCATATGTATCGGAACAGCCCTTCTCCAGGTGTGGTCTGTAGACTCCTGGGGTCACCAAGACCCTTCCAGGGAGTCCACAAGTTGAAAATTATTTTCAGAAAAATGTCAAATGTCAAATGTCATTTGCCTTTTGCTCTCTGAGGACATGTGCACTGATGGTGCAAAGCATCTGCTGCTGTCTCAGCACAAATAAGGCAGGAACACCAAACTGTGCTCAGCACCATTGCGCTCTTCATTGCCACACTCTTACATTTAAAAATGCGCCAGTTTCACTTAAGAATGTCCTCAATGGAGCAGCAAAAATTGGTAATTTTCCTAAACCTCCACCCTTGGAACATGTTCAGGAAGCACACATACAACTCGTCAGCTGCATACCCAAGCACAATCGTAGCATTGAGGAAAAACATATGTACAACTGTGTTGGGAGCGGAACTAACTGTCTTTTTTCAAGAACCACAATTTTTACTTGGAAAATAAAGGTGAGAAAAAAACATTTTCTTTAAAATGAACAAAATGAGCCTGACGGTATTGGTAGATATAATTCAAACTGTCCAACAAAAATCAGAATTTTGGAAAATTTGTATCTGCCACCGTGAGCTTCCCAATACTTTTCCAATGAGATCTGAGTGTGACATTTTTTTTTGAGACAAGGTCTCGCTCTGTCCCCCAGGCTGAGTGCGGTGGCACAATCCACAGCTCACTGAAGCCTCAACCTCCCAGACTCAAGCAATCCTCCCACCTCAGCCTCCTAAGTAGCTTGGACTACAGGCACAAGCCACCATGCCCAGCTAATTTTTTATTTTTTGTAGAGATAGGATCTCACTACATTGCCCAGGCTGGTCTCAATCTCCTGGCCTCAAGCCATCCTCCCACCTCGGCCTCCCAAAATCCTGGGATTACAGGTGTGAGCCACCGTGACTGGCCTGAAAGTAATTTTTAATACTGTGAAATGAAATGTCCACATTTGGAAGATCTACATAACTTAGTGATTCCATATTTCCAAATAAACAATGCATGTTATGAAATCACGCATGAGTAAAAGATCTATTCCAAGTACAAGATAGGCCAATGAATTTTAATGCTACCAAATAAGAAAAGTCCACCAATAATGCCTCAGGTTCCGCATTGCAACCAACCTTGAAGAAATGGCCACTTGCTGAGTTTGGGAACACATGAAAGAATATCCACAGTTGTCTGAAAGGAGTATCAAAATACTCCTCCCTTTTCCAACTACATGTACCTGTATAAGAATGAATTTTCTTTAAATAACTTCCACCAAAGCAATACACTGCAACAGACTGAATGTAGATGCTGATATGAGAATCTAGTTTTCTTCTATTAAGATGCACATTAAAGAAATTTGCAAAAATGTAAAATAAGGCTACTCACTAAGTTTTTTTTTTTTTTGGTTTGAGGAGACATTTCATTAAAAGAATGTTTATTGTGTTTACATAAAAATGGATCCACTATTGTTATGTTAAACAAACATTTTGGACATTGCTCAGTTTACATTTCTAATACAGTCAATATCAATAGATATAGATGTGGCCCGCATAACTAAAGCTCTTTAGGGCCCTCAATAATTTTTAACAGTAAAGCGTCCAGAAAGAGACCGACAAGTCCAAGAACTGTAAAACTAGAGTAATGACAATAGTGGATTATGACTGCTGTCTGTACACACGTCTGCCTCCAGACCATGGCACCCCGAATACCAGAACTGTGTTGTTTTTTTTTCATGTTTGTATTTCTGCCATCAAACATGGTGCTTGACATGTAAACTCAGTTTATTACCTTACAGTTCTGAAAATCAGAAGATTAAGGCCACAGGGCTGTGTTCTATCTGGAGGCTGTAAGGGAGGACTCTTTCCATCCCTTTTCCAAATTCTAGAGGCTGCCTGCATTCCTTGGCTCGTGGCTGTCAACTCTCTCCCTCCCTCATCACATTTACTTCTCTGATTCTGACCCTCCTCCCTCCAGTAAAGACCCCTGTGACTACACTGGGCCCCCCACATAATCCATGAAAATCCATCCCCCATCTCAAGATAGTTAACTTAATCATATCTTCAAAGTCTTTTGAAATTTAAAATCCCTTTTGCCATATTCACAGGTTCTGGGGATTCGAATGTGGACATGTTTGGGGTGGGCCATTATTCTCTCCACCATAGCCATGTACTAAGACAATGGAGTAAAAACAAGGCAGAAAAATACCCCATTATTTTCCCCAATTTTTTTTTTTTGTTGTTGTTTTTTATGAGACAGAGTCTCACTCTGTCATCCAGGCTGGAATGCAGTGGCGCAATCTTGGCTCACTACAACCTCCACCTCCTGGGTTCAAGCGATTCTCCTGCCTCAGCCTCCCGAGTGATAGCTTGAACTACAGGTGTGCGCCACAACGCCTGGCTAATTTTTGTATTTTTAGTAAAGACAGGGTTTCACCATGTTGCACAGGCTGGTCTTGAACTGCTGAGCTCAAATGATTGGCCTGCCTCAGCCTCCCAAAGTCCTGGGATTACAGGCATGAGCCACCGCGCCCAGCCAATTTTCCCCAATATTTAGAATTCTCCAGGCCAGGATGAGAAAGACACTAAGAACAATGATGACCTCTGGAAGAGACACTGCATGGCTAAGAACAGGGTAGGAGGAATGTATCTGCGTATTCAACACACACTTACATGGCATTTACTACGTGCCAGGCAGTATCTGGTGCTTTCCAAATACTAGTCCGTTGCTCCTACAAAAATCCTAGACCATTTTACACTTGGAAAAACTGAGCTTTCAGGTTAAGTGACTTGTCCAAGGTCACACAGCTAGTGAGTAGGAGAGGCTGGAGCCAGGACCTGAACCAGGTCATCAGATGGTGTCCATGCTCTTCACCACTGCCCGATGTAGCTTAGGGGGACTTAGCTGTCACCGTTTACCCTTCTACACTGCTGGCATTTTGTACCATGCGCATGTATTACCAATCTGAAAAAGCGAAGATAGTGTCACAATACAGTTATCTCTAAACACGAGAGCTAAAAAGAAGATTTTCATACTTGGTCCTTCCCAATGATCTCACTTCCTTCATAGGCAGGAATAAAGTGAGAAATAGAATTCATTTTCAAGCCCCTTACAAAAGAAGGAGGAAAAAAATAGAAACACAAACAAGCACCATTTGGCAGCCAGTACTCATAACACCGACAGGAAAGTGAGATCTTTTTTTTTTTCCTTTTCCTTATGTAACAGGCTGTAAAGTTTCCTCTTCTCAGCAGCCAATAGTTTCATAGAACTACTGCTTCACAGAGAGCCGGCTCACTCTACCTTCATAGGAGACCTGCCTGGCATCCCAAACTCTCAAATGTCTATCAAAAGTGGCAGAGCCAACAGATATTTCACACAGTGTGCTTCAGAGAACTTCTGTAGATTTTTATCTGAAAGTTGTATTTATAGTTAATGTTCGGAGAGAAAAGCCAAGACTGATTTTTACTCAAAATGCTGGGAACGTTTATTTAACATCTCTCCTCCTGACCCTCATACTGCCTGGTCCTCTTTGCCATGGGGTGTCCCCTCCCCACCAGCCATCCCTGTCACAGGCCAGCAGGATGTTAATCCATCTACCTCACCCCTAAAGGGGACCGGTGAGGACCACACTTTAGTGGAGACGGCTTCCCAGTGCTGAGGAAGACTTAGGTTTTACAGAGAACATATAGGGGTTCCTTTATTCACTCTTTCCTCTAAAACATCTGAATATTTATTTTATAAGGGGCTTCTGATCATTCAACATGACAATACTTTAAGATCCAAAGGAATGAAGCTAGAGTGGTGGGATCAGAGAGGTGACAGGCAGGGGCAAGCTTTTCAAGTCACACACACACTCCAGTGGCCATCAAATGAGCAGACAAGTTCTCTATATTTTATAGAAGGCAGGGGGAAGTAGTAATACAATATTCATTAGTTAGTTAATTAGCTAGTTGGTTTTTCAGATACATGCAACGATACGTTATAAATTCCTGGAATTCAGGGTTTTCTACAATCTGGCCCCAATAGACTTTCCAACCTTTCTTCCCGTGACCTCTACATGCAGCCTCTGTCTTCCAGCTTGCTTGCTCTATGTGAAAGGCCCTTCCCTCCACCAAATCCCCCCACCACACACCTCCAGGTCCATGGCCTGTCCAACTGCAGCGCTGAGATCAAACACAAACCCTTCTAGAAACTGTCCTCTGATGCTGATGCTGAGAGCCCTGTGCCTTGCTTCTGGGTGCCTTTGCTCTTGTAAAACAGAAAAATTAGTGGAAATCCCACCTCTGACCTCTAATTCTCTTCATTGCAATTTTTTTTTTCTTTGGAGCCAGGATTTACAAGTGTTTTCCAATTCAACTATGAGCTTCTTGAGAGTATGAAATAATGTGTAATTCACCTTTATGTACCTTCGACATTTAACAAAAGGTTATCTGTTAAATACACAAGTGAATAAATAAATGACTGAGAATAAGAAAAAGAGAATCAAACAAAACTAAGTTTTATAAGGAAATTAGTATCCAGGATCTTAATTTTTTCCACCACTAAAAGAAAGCCACACGCTCACTTCCACACTGGTGGAAATGAAACCGATCTTCAGCACAGACAAAACAAACTCGTAATTCTGAGACCAAAGTTCTGTGTCCTGGTAAAACCAGTATTTCCCAATCAGATTGTTTTCTGATTTAAAAAAAAAAAAAGTACCACTCATCTTTAGGAACACTAATATGTTTTTACATCTGGAAATCTGGGGTATCAGCCAGCCAGACTCACTAATAGCAGTTTTACACACAAACAGAGCATTCTCTGAGCTAAATGCTGTTAGTCATCCTAAACAGGCTATGGAAGCCAAAATGCCCTCACTCTCATAAACAGGAAATAAGTGGGTTTGCCACATCAGAGCTGGCTCTATAATGCTTTTCCCTGGTGAGAAGCTATATAATGGACACATACATTCCCAAGAGCAATTCATTCCAAAGAGCAAATTTACATCGAAGTGGCTTCTGGTAGCTTGAGACTCAACGCTACTCACAGCGATTTAAAAAAAGAATGATTCAAAGGGGGCGTGGAGGCTAAAAAAAGAACCTCAGGCTGCAATTACCTTCATCATCTGGTAAGCCTGTGTTGGATTTACATCGTCTAAATGGAAGGAGGAACATAGGTCTTTTCTATTTTTGTCCCCTATTAAATACACCTCCAATCCTAACAAGGTAGGATTAATGGCTGTTTATAGATGGAGAATTCATTAATGCGACAAGTTCAGTGTTTACATAAAGACTTTATTCAGAAACTCTATGCCCAATGAGACTTTCTTAAAAGCTGCTGGAATGTTTCAAAAGATGGCAAACACTAGAAAAGGGATTTTCATACACAAATCACAAGTATGGCATTAACAGGATCCCAGTATAAACAGGTCTGGCCTGTCCAATCCCTTCAATGGTTGCCTTGTTGGCTCTGAAATAACACTGGCCTCTCTGGGGAATTCCAGTGGTAAAATTAATTCTCTCCATAAAAAGTTTTTACAGATGATATTTCCGCTCAAGTCAAATACAGCCTACGGACATTTCCTCTCTCCACTGTGAATAACTAGAACAGAAATTTAAGCCCTTCTAGGCAAAATCAAATGGTCACTCATTTTGTAGGCAACAGAGGAACTTCATACTGAACCCTCAACGATTCTCCATATATTCCTGTCTCTTCCGCTCCTCACAGAGCATCACAGGCATAGTGGAGTGAAGCTGGTGAATGCTGGAAGTTCTTTGCTTCCCAGTGTAAGCGATTTGCCAAATGGAACATGGTGTCTTCCAAGCACGGGCCCAGCAATAAACGAGGTGAGCTAAGAGTCGACTGCCTGCATTCTGAGCGCACGAGGAAAGACAATGGTGGAGGTTTGGGACACACAATTCCTAAGAACACACATGCGCAACAGAGATCATGTGCCGGGAACTTTGCACACATTATCTCATTCCATCCTCAAAACCTCGGCATAGAAGGCCTCAGGAAACAGTAAGTCCTACTGCCTCAGTTCAGGCCACCTCTTGTAGACTAATGGCCAAGGGGCAGCGGGAGTGCTCACGCCAGCCCTGGGGCTGCTCTCCAGCCAATGCAGGCTAGAGAGGCTGGCTCTCCAAGGCTGCTTTCCACACCTGCGCAAGTTAAAAATGGGGCTTGCGGCCGAGCACAGTGACTCACACGTGTAATCCCAGCACTTTGGGAGGTCGAGGCGGGCAGATCACCCGAGGTTGGGAGTTCGAGACCAGCCTGACCAACATGGAGAAACCTTGTCTCTACTAAAAAAACAAAATTAGCCAGGCGTGGTGGTGCATGCCTGTAATCCCAGCTACTCGGGAGGCTGAGGCAGGAGAATCCCTTGAACCAGGAGGTGGAGGTTGCGGTGAGCCAAGATTGCACCATTGCACTCCAGCCTGGGCAACAAGAGCAAAACTTCATCTCAAAAAAAAAAAAAAAAAAAAAAAGGGGGCGGGGTGGGGGAGGGGGGGTTGCACTGCCCCAAGCCTCTTGCAGGAGGTGCACCCACAGCAAAACCCTGGAATCTGCATTTTCATTAAGCTCAGCAGGTGAGTCTTGGGCACTAGGAAGTTTGAGACCCATTTTCCTAAACATTATTAGTATCAATGAATGTCAAATACTGCAAGGATGCTTCTTTTCTAGAAAAGCAGAACCTTAATAGCAACCCACAAGCAACCCCCTAGCTTCCTGGGACCTGCCACTGTGACTAACACTTCTTTCAGTAAAAGATTCATTAGATATAGAGATATAGACAGAGACAGATTTTTTTTCCCACTTGAAACTGATCAAGAGACAAAAGTTAAGCAACGTAAACTTCAGGATATGACTGAAAGCCCTGAACTCTGTGTAGCTTGTTCCCAGGGTCCCCCACACATTTTAAGTGCTCGACAGGGGGCTATAAATATTCTGCTTGGAAGGGCAACATAAGCCCAAACAAGTGCTTAAGGCTTTCCTTTTCATCTACTTTCTGATATTCTTATAATTTCTATTTTAAAAAAACAGGTCTTCTTTCCCAGAGAGCCAGCCATTTGGTTTTTATAGCAAGCAAAGGATTGGCTTCTCTGGAAAAGCAAACAGAACTTTCCTTCTTTTCAAGTACATGGTTGCCTTCTAGCAATGCCAAGGGAAAGTGAAATTTAGGGAAAGGCAGGCTCTCAAATGGCCGGCCACTGCTAAGTTATAATTCAAAGTTGTATTAAAAACTGTTTTTCAAAGTCATTTAAATTTTTGATTTCCGTAAATTTTAACTTTTTTAGTTAAAAAATGGGATTACTGTTTTCTAATTCATTGCAAAAGTAAATCAAGGTAATTTTTAATAAAACAGGAAGCTGCAAAAGCGAGGGAGGAGGAGGAGAAGCACGTTTTCAGAATTCCTGCCAAGTGAAACGCTGGGCTGAACATGCCACAGACAGGAACTCCCCCAAACTCACAGGGACCACAGGGGCAGGGGAGAAACATTATCCTCTGGATGAGAAAAGTGAGGCTCAGCATCTTCATTCGGGCTCCCCTAAAAGCAGAGTCTGAGTCAAGGACTTGAGTACAGAAGTTTATTTGGAAGGTGACCCCGAGATTC
Source organism: Homo sapiens (assembly GCF_000001405.40). NCBI lineage: Eukaryota > Metazoa > Chordata > Mammalia > Primates > Hominidae > Homo > Homo sapiens. The sequence continues at coordinate 155,186,446 of NC_000006.12, read as the reverse complement.
CCAAAGGAAGGGGTAGGGACAGTGAGGCAAGAAGGGCAGGAAGCCCATGGGAGGTGTGAAAGCGAGGCTGCTGTGTACAGCTGGGGCTCATTCCAGGGCCCATCTGCAGAGCTGTGTAGACTGCACCTCAGAACCGTTTCCACCAGGGTAAAGAGGCTGGGGTAGCATCCACCAAAGCCCAGAACTCCCTGGGTGAGTCAAAAAACCAGTATAGGGCAGCCCAGGACCTGAACCCACGTCTGACTCAAAACCTGTATGCTTGTCACCCTGCCATCTCTCAGAGTTTCCACAAACACAGGCTTCTCTTGTCATTCAGATGTTGCATATGAATGAGAGACCTGGTCTTTTTTCACTTTTATCTTTTAATCCACCCACCTACCCTTATTTTCTTTTCCCCTCAACCTTCAAAATGGAAGACTTCCTTCTGAGATGTTTGCCCAAAGGCATGTAACTTCCTTCACAAGCAACGCAACTACCTCGAAAAGAAAAAGAAAAGCCTCTGTTTGTGGTGTCTGGGGAAGGAGTCTGCTGGGGCTGTTTTTTCCAGCACAGGCGACATCACTATGGAACAGCCACCTGGAGCTTAGGAGAGGGGAGGAATGGTAAAGCTCAGGGCAGAGGTGGGCGGGGCGCTGCCTGGGAGACTGTCACACCCACAGAGCACAGTCTTGCCAGGACACCAGGAAAGGGTTAGTGGCTCCCACTAGGCTGGTAGTGGAAGAACCTGCAAGATTCCATCAGGAGGACGTGATGTGGACAAGCACCGTGCCTGCCTGGCTAACTAAGCTCTCTGTCCACACAGACATTGGTTGTAAAGGATTAGACAGTCCGAATGGCTGCCTAAGATGAGTAATAGAATAGCTATTTAACAGATCCAGGACTGCCTCTTTATTCTGTTTCCTTGCCAATAAATAAATAAATAAATAAATAAATAAATAAATAAATAAATAAATAAAAGTGGCTTAACTCACCTGCTTGATCCTTACTATTTAAAAAAAAATTTAAAAAGAAAAGAAAAACAGCCGGGCGCGGTTGCTTACACCTGTAATCCCAGCACTTTGGGAGGCTGAGGAGGGTGGATCGCTTGAGGTCAGGAGTTCAAGACCAGCCTGGCCAACATGGTGAAACCCCATCTCTATTAAAAACGCAGAAATTAGCCAGGCGTGGTGGCATGTTCCTGTAGTCCCAGCTACTTCAGAGGCTGAGGCAAGGGAATCACTAGAAACCGGGAGGTGGAGGTTGCACTAAGCCAAGATTGCGCCACTGCACTCCAGCCTGGGTGACAGAGCAAGACTGTCTCAAAAAAAAAAAAAAAAAAAAAAAGGTAAATTTGCCCCTTTCTCTACTTTCTACAGGAATTCATTCCCGCAAGTACCAAAAGTATTATAGCCTCTGTGGTAATTTCTTATTATGATAAAATACATAGAGACATAACACAGGTAGTGAATGTATCCCTCAAGAGTAATGAATCCAACAAATGGACACATGTATGTATTATATGGAATACTCAGGCCCATAACAGCAGCCCAGGGTAGCTGAATGATGGCCCTAATATACCCAAGTAATTAATAAGTTCCATCATAATTTTTGTTTTATGACATTCACTTTTATATGCCAATAGTCCATTTAATGGCATTTTAAATTAGAGGAAAGCCCCAAGAGAGGAGGAGAAAGCACGAGATACCTTATTGAATCGCAAATCTTACCATCTGATTTTTTAATTCCAAAAATGACCTAATAAACTTCCTTTATAATTAAATCAATCCTAACAACTTCTCTTTGGTGTTTTTTCATTCATTTTTGGTAATCATGCAGAGATTTCAATTGGAAATCCATTATTATCGTAATTAAGTATAAAAATTGCTCTGTGTTCTCCCAGGAAAAAGACCCCACACTTGGTCTCCTGTGGAGCTTGACCCGGGCTCTCCAGAGGTATAAAGCGAAACTACTGGTTTTCAGTACTAGCCGAGCCCCTAATTTACTTGACTGCAGTACATGAAATACACATGAATGATCAACTCAAAACTTCAGACCTTCAAATGATTTCCTCATATGGAAGTCTTACCGTGAGAAAACTAAACTGGCACACAGTTTTTCATTTTTAGGCCTTCACAAAGTTTTAAAATTCATGACCTACATTAAAAGTTTGCTGTTTACTGGCCAGGCACGGTGGCTCATGCCTGTAATCCCAGCACTCTGGGAGACCGAGGCGGGTAGATCACCTGAGGTCAGGAGTTTGAGACCAGTCTGGGCAACATGCTGAAACCCCACCTCTACTAAAAATGCAAAAATTAGCGAGGCATGGTGGTACACGTTTGTAGTCTCAGCTACTCAGGAGGCTGAGGCACGAGAATCTCTTGAACCCGGGAGACAGAGCTTGCAGTGAGCTGAGATTGTGCCACTGCACTCCAGCCTGGGTGACAGAGTGAGACTCTGTCTCAAAAAAAAATAAAAATAAAAATAAATTTTAAAAAAGAAAGTTTGCTGTTTATTAATAAAGTAGTACTTAACAAAAGATATAACTGAACTGAAATGCACGGGCTGTTCTAAGAGCCCAACAGAAGACTGCAAAATGGTTGTGCCTTAGATTCAACTAAATAAGAAAAATCTTTCCACTTTGGCATTTATGCAGGCTTTCATCTGCCTTCAGTCACAAAGGAACTACAAGACTAAACATTATGGGTGATTTTTAAAGAGTCCATGATTTTTTTTTAAATGTTATTTTGTGCAAAAATAATTATTTTCTATTTTAATGAAAGCGCTATAATTACTAAAACGCATGAAATTTTGATAAAATCTACTCCAGTTGGCATCTGTGTTCTTCTAATAAATTAGAAAACATTCTTTGAACAGCTTAAATAATCTGAGTTTGCAAGCAAAATTACAGCCTAAAAATATTGGCTGTTGATACCAGCAGTTAAGAAGGAAGACAGAACAAAGCCTTACCATTGGCTGTATTCTTTTTAAAGTTATCCAGGAATTCCTCCAGCAGTTGGGACTGGTTAGGAGGGGGCAGCAGACTCTTCTGGTCCCTGGAGAACAGGTCACTGTCTGACCAGGATGTACACAGGGTTGCTTTTGTGTCCGGAGGCCGGGCAATCAGAGTGAGTCCGACGCTCTTCTCAGAAAACAGGGCCTCCATCTGCTTAAGGTCAAGATCAGACACAGCTTCCCCATTTAAGGTCATGATCTCATTGCCCTTTCTCAGCCCTGAGAAAAAGGAAGGAGAAACAGAAAAAAGAGAGAGGGATTACTGTGAGAAATATTTTCAGATGAAAGAAGGCTGCAAACTCAAACCATGTACTCGTAGGGACTGTTTTGTTTGTTGCTTTCTTCAAAGAAAGTGCCAGCCAGGCACAGTGGCAGGTGCCTGTAGTCCCAGCTAATCAGGAGGCAGAGACAGGAAGATCACTTGAGCCCAGGAGTTTGAGGCCAGCCTGGGGCTATATAGCAAGACTTCGTCTTTTAAATAAGAAAAACAAAAAAGAATTAAAGGGCCAAAATGTATAGTATTTAGATGCCACTAAGAGCAAAACAAATGTTAGCTCTCTCACAGCTACTATTCGAAGAAACAGTTTGAAAGATCTCAGCTCACTGCAACCTCTGTCTCCCCGGTTCAAGAGATTCTTGTGCCTCAGCCTCCTGAGAACCACTCATTCGTTGTTTTTTCTAGTGTTCCCATGTTAACTTTGTTCCATCCGTGTCCGCCTGTCTGTCTCACACTCTCTTCCTCCTTCCCTCTGTCTATATATATGTATACACTTACTCTTTTAAACACACACACACACATGCTCTCTCTATATATAGGCATATGCATTTTCTTTCTTTTCTCTCTCTCTGTCCTTTTTTACGGAGGCAGGAGTCTCACTCTGTCTCCCAGGCTGGTCTTGGGCTCCTGGGCTCAAGCAATCCTCCCATCCTCCCACCTCAGCCTCCTGAGCAGCTGGGTTTATGCGAGCGAGCCGCTGTGTTTGGTCGCATTTCCAATTAAACTCTTACGTTTACTTTCTTTAAAATTCCAGGAGCAACCTTTTTCTGACAAAACTGTAAGAAGAAACATTCACTAGCCAGACTGTATCCCACAGTTTCAAATTAAGAGGCAACAGGGGCACGGTGTGCCACACGGACCTTCCCCATACGCCAGGCCATCGGGAAGAACGTCGCTTATAAATATCCGGCTGAGATGCTGACGCTCATCCACCTGCGCTGTAACTGCAAACCCTAGGAATGAAAACAAAAGGAAAAAGCAAGTCTCAGCCCACCACACTGAATTTCTCCAACCACACCGGCAGTATCTCCTTGAACATCTTTTCTCATAAGTACAGTATGTTGAGAAAGTCGAAATTACAGCTATTTTGAAAGTATAAATATCTTGCAGGGGCAGAAAAAGACAAATGTCAAACGAGAGGCTTAAGAAATATAAAAACATAACTTTTATTCCAAAGGTGAGACCATGCACCCACACGCATAACAGCGTAATTCACAATAGCCAAGAGGTGGAAATAACCCAACTGTCTGTCAATAGACGGATGGATAAGCAAAATGTGATCTATGCATACAGTGGAGTATCATTCAGTCTTAAAAAGGAAAAATATCTTGGCATATGCTACAATTTGGGTGAACTTTGAGGAGAATATGCTAAGTAAAATATGTCAGTCACAAATAGACAACACAGTATGATACTATTTACGTGAGTAGCTAGAGCAGTCAACTTCAGAGAGGTAGAAAGTATTAATAGAATGGTGGTTGCTAGGGGAATTCCGAGAGATACAAAGTATTAACAAACTGGTGGTTGCCAGGGGCTGGGGGAAGGACAGTATGAGGAATTGGTGTTAAATGGGTACAGAGTTCAGCTTTACAAGACGAAAAGATTTCTAGAGATAGATGATGGTAGCACAACATTGTGAATGTACTTAACATCACAAAACTGTACACCTAAAAGTGGTCAAGACGATAAATTTTATGTTATATGTCTATTACCACAATTAAAAATTTAGGCAAATTTAACAGCAAAAAAATACTCTCACTGAAATACATGAAATTCAGTTCAATACAACAAATAATTGTTGAGAAACAACTATGTTTGGGGTTGAGCATTTTAAGAAGGTGAAAAAATGCTTGGATGAATACGGTGCTTGCCCTAAATACATAAGACTACATGCAAATCCTAGGCAGACCTTCCCTCTTCTGAATGCATGGCTCCTGACTTAGTGTCCCCCTCTGTGATGCCACAGTGAGGAGCACAGGTTTCCATGTCTTGGTCCCCTAATACGGAGAGTTCTTTGAGGACAGCAAGAATGTCCTGTTCCCTAGGTCTCTGCTGTGACCCCAGCAGAGCCTGGCAGATTATGGTCTCACCAGAGAGTATCTTCTGCTGGTAGAATATGGTCTCACCAGAGAGTATCTTTGCAATGTCTTCATTCATCCATTCCAATACAAAGATGAACACAAATGGCAACCACAAAAAGCACAGTGAAGGCCAAGAGGAGGAGAAAAAAGGCTAAGAGGGCTTCAAAGGAAAAACCAACATAACATGGGGTCCGGGCACAGTGGCTCATGCCTGTAATCCCAGCACTTTGGGAGGCTGAGGTGGGCGGATCACTTGAGTCCAGGAGTTCAAGAGCAGCCTGGCCAACATGGTGAAACCCCGTCTCTACTAAAAATACAAAAATTAGCCAGGTGTGGTGGCAAGCACGGTGCCTGTAATCCCAGCTACTTGGGAGGCTGAGGCAGGGAGAATTGCTTGAACCCAGGAGGCGGAGGTTGCAGTGAGCCGAGATCATGCCACTGCACTCCAGCCTGGGTGACAGAGCAAGACTATGTCTCAAAAAAAATAAAAAATAAAAAAATAACATGGGGGTCAGAAAAGATTATACAAATTTTTAAAAAACGAAGGCATCCTAAAAAGGACATTTTAACATATTATAAACTTTATTATTAGTTTGAATCATTTTAAGGAAAAAATCATGTATCGATATATTTAACAAGGTAAGAAACAGTGTTTCTATGGAGGTATTTACCAATCATTATCTAATCATTCAGTGTTTCTATGGAAGTATTTACCAATCATTATCTAATCAAGGAGAAATGTAGGAAATGATGCTATGAAGTGACTTCAGAAGTACTGACCCTTAACTGTTTTTTTGTTTTGTTTTGTTTTGAGACGGAGTTTCGCTCTTGTCGCCCAGGCTAGAGTACAGTGGTGCAATCTTGGCTTACGGCTCACTGCAACCTCTGCCTCCCAGGTTCAAGCGATTCTCCTGCCTCAGCCTCCCGAGTAGCTGGGATTACAGGCATGTACCACCATGCTTGGCTAATTTTGTATTTTTAGTAGAGAGGGGGTTTCTCCATGTTGGTCAGGCTGGTCTCGAACTCCCGACCTCAGGTGATCTGCCCGCCTTGGCCTCCCAAAGTGCTGGGATTACAGGCATGAGCCACGGCGCCCAGCTGACCCTCAACTGTTAAACTCAGGGAAGAAAGAAGGAAGTAAAGCTAAAGCAATCAGACACGGCTTCTTCAAGAAAGACCTTGAGTTAGTTCTTGAAGGACAGCAGGATTCATGTCACCAGAGAGGAGGGATGGGGGAAGAAAGAGGAAAGAAGGGGAGCATTCCAGGTGGGAAGAGAAAACTAAGAGCAAAGACACTAGAGATGAAAGCAACTGTCATATGAATCATGAGTTGGTCTGCTCAGAGCAGCACCAGCACACAGTACATTCATTGTGTTATTAATCTATATTTTCAAATTCCCATCAATTTTATATTCATTCCATTTAATTACTTTGGCATTTCCCTCTAATACTAATACCTATCTGTGTCACCTGCTAATATCAATAAATAGAAATGAAGGAAGAGAAAGGAAGTTCAGAAACTACTGTCATATATTCTGAAAATGTGAATGTAAGGGGAAAAAATTAAGTCCAAAGATGCTGGGGCAAAGTAGGCAAAGATGAACAACACAATTCCCTGAAAGGGGCATTCCTTACACTCACCAAAGTCACACACACTCCCAGTCTTCGTGAGCTGCACGTCATAAACATTTAGTGGAAAGACTTCTATTTCATCATAAACCTGCAAAAGGTGAAAACAACAAAATCAGAGGATCTCATGTTATGATACCTCAAAAAATTACTTTGACACTATTTTTCATAAAACAAGAAAGCTGTTAAGATACCGTTTATATAGAGACTGTTTCCAAACTAGACGCCAAATTTAAACAGAATTTTCCCCAAAAATGACATTTTTCAAAATCAAAGGGCCATAGATGTGGTTCAGTTTCCCTTCCTAAAGCTAGTGCACACTTACCTGTTGTTGCATATATTCATATGGTGCAGGGATGCAATACTCAACATTGTCATCTACTAATTTTCGAAGCTGTAGGCCATAATGGCTGGGTTCCAACTGCCTCATCTATAAAGAAAAAGACAGTTATTCAGATTTTAAATGCTCTTTCTAAATCCATCATTGGTTAGCAGGCTTATTAAAAATCAAAGTAGAAATCTCTAAAAGAATACTGCATATAATTTGCTGAATTTAAACCTATATAAGAGCTCGAATTTAAATACTTGTATGCAGGCCAGGGGCAGCGGCTCACACCTGTAATCCCAGCACTTTGGGAGGCCAAGGCGGGTGGATCACTTGAGGTCAGGAGTTGGAGACCAGCCTAGCCAATACAGCAAAACATCGACTATAGTAAAAATACAAAAATTAGCCAGGTGTAGTGGCACACACCTATAATACTAGCTACTCGGGAGGCTGAGGCAGGAGAATCGATTGAACCCAGGAGGTGGAGGTTGCAGTGAGCTGAGGTAGCACCACTGCACTCCAGTCTGGGTGATAACAGCAAGACTCCAACTCAAATAAATAAATAAATAAATAAATACTTGTATGCAAAAAAGTAAAGGAGGACAATTATTTTTAAGAAGGTTTTCGCTGAACAATATTGCTTATGATTAAAGGCAAGAGATGCATTTTTAAGAGATTACGGTAGAACATATCTGACAGTAAAATAAATCTTATCAGCTCAGCAAATGCCATCTCTTTAGTTAGGTTAAGCCTAACCTTGTTTCTCATTACTAAAGTACAGAAATTTGTAAAATGTTAACAAATCTACAGACTTAAGAATGTCCTACTCCAAAAACTTTCAAAACGAAAATGTGTACGCACACACACTCATATTTTCTCTCGCATGCATATTTTCAACAGTGAGAAATTTATCTCAGGCCTATGCTCTAACTGGGTCAAATTGACCCACTACATCTTTTTTTTTTTTTTTTTTTTTTTAATTTGAGACGGAGTCTTGCTCTGTCGCCCAGGCTGGGGTGCAGTGGAGCCATCTCGGCTTAAGGCAAGCTCCACCTCCCAGGTTGACGCCATTCTCCTGCCTCTGCCTCCCGAGTAGCTGGGACTACAGGCGCCCGCCACCACACCCAGCTAATTTTTTGTATTTTTAGTAGAGACGGGGTTTCACCGTGTTAGCCAGGATGGTCTCGATCTCCTGACCTCCTCGGCCTCCCCAAGTGCTGGGATTACAGGCATGAGCCACTGCTCCCAGCTGACCCACTACTTCTGATACCCTTTATTACTCAGAAAATTATCAGTTTAATGGAGGATATCATTGGTATAGAACATTGTTGGTTTTCTGAATAAAAACGTTACATATGGGAGCAAAAGGAAATTAAGTTCCTAAGGATATAAACTACATATAAATGTAGAGAATCCTAATGTTTCAAGTCAAAGTGAAAAAGGGGGACTAAAATTAAACATTTTTCACATTTATTAAGTGCACATGATTAAGTGTTGCCAAACTCTATATGCCTTTTTCACCATTTCAACATAGTTGATTGTATTTTCTCTGGAAACTTAAAACTATTTAAGCTCTACTGCACCACCTGGTGGTCTAAAAGCTTCTGATCTGATGTTGCTGAATATATTCTCTCTCAGAGGGCTCTCTTTAAGACTTACCATAAACTCCCTTCTCAGATCAGGAATGAAACCCAGTTTGAAAAATGAATAAAACATCATCTTATATTAATCTCCATAAAGCAACTGTGAATATATCAAGTTTCGTGTTTAATCTGGAGAAATCCGATAAAACTATTTAGGATTAAATTAAATTACCTCAAAGTTTATGCCGCCTTCTTATAACACACCATCTCTAAGTAACTTAAATAGCAACGGATTTCATAATTATTCTAGATATCAAAGTATACATAGAATTTCAGTAGATTAGCTCAGGTTCTTCATGGAAGTGTGGGATCATGACCTAATAACTCATTCTTCTAAAGAGATCAAGGAATAGAATGCAAATTAATGAATATGCTAATAAATATATTAACTAATAAATATGCTAATATGTTCCCTGGCATGGAAACTGGGCCCTTGAATATCACATGAATTTAGAAGGCATAAGATTGCAACATTAATGATTATTTCTATTCAGAAATATATTTCTGCAGCAAAATCCGTTACCTTGCATGCCAAAGTCAAAATATCTTCTACTCTGTGCTCTGGCTTGATCCCTACAGTAACTCCGTGATTGTCCTGAAAGTGGACATAAGTCTGGATTTCCCATGCATTGTCTCGGGGAACACCGTCTACTGTTGAACCATATATATGCAGAAGTTCATCGACCTGTTTGTAGATGCCAAAAGAAAATGCAGACAAATTTGATTAACAAATGAAGGAAACCACCGGCCAAATGTCCTGTTCATTTACGGAGTATTTAGAGTAAACGCTCACACGCTTCACATCACTGGCTTCTCACAGCCCTCTGAGGCTGACAACGTTTCCTCACTCATTTTATCAGATGAAACTGCAGCCATGGGAAGCAGAGTGAAAGTTAGTGACTGCCTGTCCTGTGTTCTTTCCACTGTGTCAATTGACCGCTTATGCCAAGTTAGAACACCACAATCCGGCTGGGAACGGTGGCTCACGCCTGTAATCCCAGCACTTTGGGAGGCCAAGGCGGGTGGATCACCTGAGGTCAGGAGTTCGAGACCAGCCTGGCCAACATGGTGAAACAGCGTCTCTACTAAAAATACAAAAATTAGCCAGGTGTGCTGACGTGCGCCTGTAGTCCCAGCTACTTGGGAAGCTGAGGCAGAAGAATCGCTTGAACCTGGGAGGCAGAGGTTGCAGTGAGCCAAGATCATGCCACTGCACTCCAGCCTGGGCAACAGAGTAAGAGTCTGTCTCAAAAAATAAAAAAAGAACACCGCAATCCATGTAAGGGCTGCTGAGTATCCACGCTTACTGCTCTGGGATCATGGTTGAGAAGGGCCACTGTGAAGCCTGCATCTCAGCCATAATCCCTCTCTGACCTCCCACTGAATTCCAGACACACCTTGTCCATGGTCACTGACATCTGCCTGCCATCCTGACTCTGAACTGCACTTAATCCAGCACAAGCTTTCTCTTCTAAGACTATCTGTGTTTTTGTCTTTGTTTCTTCTTTTTAATTTTAGCCTGACTCATCACTGACAGAAATCTATTTGTTCCTTAAAATTAACCCATAGTCCTGGGAAATCTTTTCTCTATCCTTCAGCTATCTCACACATAGACACTGTTGGAAAATCATCTCAAAGAATACCACCTTCAGGAAGCCTTTCCCAAAAAAGTGTAGTGTGCCAACTACATCATCACAACAATTGCTGACTTCATGCTAATACGTCCTTTTGTAATTCATAACAAAAATAGCATACATTTCTTAAGCGATGTAGACATGTTTCTCTCTGGGTAGGTTCTTATATTCACATAGCAGTAAAGAAAAGATTTGGGGCTTCGAAATCAAAAGTCACAGACTCTACCAGCAAAGTGTGGCCTAGGACAAGATTTACCTTGCTACGTACGATTCAGCTCCTGTTTTGTAAAAGAGGATATTATTAATATAATTCATATTGAAAAAATTACTTGTTACTTAAGTTTTTGTGAGCAAAAGAGGTCACTTATGTGAAACACCTTACATACCAGAAAATGTCACCTGTAGATTCAATACTATCACATTATTATATATCATTCATCATACTTTAAAGTTATCATTAATGGGTGATTTTACTTTGAATTCCATGCATTTTTAAATACAAAGTAAAAGATCCTCCTATGCAGGATTTAAAAACTAGAAGAGACATCGTAAAGAAATTTAAAAGAAGAAAGCAAGGGAAAAATCTGTCTCTCTGTGCCATCTTTTTGAAAACATGGTGCTCAATTTTGAAGTGACATTTCTGGATTTGTCTTGGATCTGTCGCTTTCAGTACATTTTTCTGGAAGGATGATCACAGCCAGAATGCACATCCCCACACGTGCCAATGCCAAAGGAAAAGACAGGACCAGATGCAAGGAGCCAGGGATGCCAGGAACCAGCCCGGACACTCTCTGCTAAAGGCTCTTGTCTTACACAGGCACATTTTTTTCCCTGGTTCATTCTCTCGGGTACTTTTCATCTGGGCAGTGATTTCAACCCGGTGCTTAGCAACAAACAGATGCTGCCTTAAAGGTGCAGGCCCCACCTCTGAAACCAGGCTTGTTGAGAAGCAAACTAAAACCCAGCAGAGGTCACTGTGGAGTAAGAAACATCACAAAGAACAAGGCCCGGAGGAAGTCACAGGCTCCCACTGAGGGTGACAGAGCAATTAATTTACTGCTGCACTTTTGGAGATCAGGAAGAACGTAATTATGGATAAACAGGTGTGGGAGGAACATGAGCAGTACAAATTAACACTGTGCCTTCACACCCTCTTGTTCTCACCGTTACTGACAATCAGAGAAAGACTGTATCACTTGGCCGGGCGCCATGGCTCACGTCTGTAATTCCAGCACTTTGGGAGGCCGAGGCCAGTGGATCACCTAAGGTCATGAGTTCAAGACCAGCCTGGCCAACATGGTAAAACCCTATCTCTACTAAAAATAAAAATTATCCGGGCATGGTGGCACGCGTCTGTAGCCCCAGCTACTCAGGAGGCTGAGGCAGGAGAACAGCTTGAACCTGGGAGGCAGAGGTTGCAGTGAGCCAAGATCGTGCCACTGCACTCCAGCCTGGGCGACAGAGGGAGGCTCCATCTCAAAAAAAAAAAAAGACTGCATCTCGTGAGACCAAATGAAACAAGCTCCTGATGTGCCATCAGTTCACTCACCACTCACAGCCAGCCCTCTCAGGAAGGCACCATCATCACTTCCTATGGAAAAGGCAAGAAAAATATGGCTCAGGAAATTCTAGAAACTTGCCCAAGTTTACACAACTAGTGCCTATGGTACTCCGGGGATCTGAAGGGTGGAAGTCTGGGATGAGCTGGTTCACACCACCACTATACTACACAGAATGCCCGCCTGGCAGTTAACTCCCTTTATATAAAATGGGTGCAACCCAAATCTCCTGATTACTTTCCATTATTCTAAGCCACACACCATGTTCCCATTGAACAGAATGGCTCAGGGAACATTCCCCAGAAGGGAGTGGCATGCTCCTGCTCCACACCGGTGCTCACTTCCATCTCCTCTCTCTGCTGTACCGTCCTTACAAGTAGAGTCAGTGCTGAAACCATATATACCCTCCAACCTGGTTTAAAATGCCCCTGTCTTATGAATTCTCTCCTATCTCTCCTTTCTCTGCCCTCAAGTCCTCTCACTTAGATGAGTTTACTCTCCTATGTCCCTGGTACAGCATTTGGCAAAGCCCAGCTCACAGGAGAGTCACTTCTAAGTCCCGCACCAGGAGAAGATGAATACCAGCAGAGGCTTTGTCTTCTGCATCCTCATTCTCCCTCAGCCATTAACACAGTGCGTCCCACACCCAGGACACACCCAAAACTTCAGTGCTGAGCTGGATACAACTAGAAATTCACAGTCATATTACAGGCAGAAGGGTAAACGCTGTCCGTTTTCAGTATCTTACTCAAATCTGTTGACATAGTGTCAAGTTCTTAATGCTCTCTGGAAGCTTCGAGAAGAAAAATTAACAGATTATTGAAGGAGAATAAGTTCTGGACAAGAGAAAAGTGTGCAGATAGATGGAAGGATGGAAGGACAAAAGAAATAATCCTATTAAAATCCATTAAACAAGGTGCTGTGCTACAACTGCTCTGAGCAATGGTTTTCTGAGTCTACACTGTTGACCCAAGATCTAGTGAACCATAGAAGAGAAGACGCCTATCAAAGCCAAGGCCATCAAAGAGTAAGACCCTCTCAAGAGAGTCCCTCAATGAAAAGTTAAATGTAATTTTTGGTGTGTGTTAGGCAGACAGACAGACAGACACACACACACACACACACACACACACACACAACCCTCACAAATGTATACAGTTCAAGAAAAGTAAAACCTGGTTATTCAAAGGAAGCACCAAGAATTTAAAATTAATTTATTAAAACTAGAAAAAGAAAAAGCTACTTGGTGCTTACAGATCTCTTAGGTTGTTGTAAGCTTTGCCCATTTGGAGGGAAAGTTGGATTAATTCTCTGAAGGAAGGTCAATGCTATCCAAGTTGAAAATACACATGCTTTAGTTTCAGGAAGCCAGATGAAATATTCTCCAATATTCTTTTCATAAAAAGAAGAGAGAATCCTAAAAATAAGCATTAAAAATGGAGCCATCTGGAAAACTCTTTTTCCAGGTTACCCATGTCAAAGATGCTGCTATGTTAAATTAACCTTTTTAACCACCCAGAATTCCACGGTTGGCTACCTTTGCCAGGACTGTTACGCACCTACCACGCCTCCTACTCTACTTCCTCCCATCAAAGAAAAAAAAAAAAAAAAAAAAAAAAAATATATATATATATATATATATATATATATATATATATATATATATTTCCAACTAGCCTCTTCAAGGTTTCCTGGTCCTGAGAATGCAAATGGAGACAGAAAAAATACAATAATAGCAAGGCAATCCAGGTCAAATCTCAGCCTTGTTAGGGGCTGTTATCTAGTGCCTCTGCACTTCTGTTCCTTCACCTTCAAAAGAGGTTAAAAACGCCAGCCTCGTGGGGTGGTTAGGAGACTGATGGGAGGAATTGCATTTGAAAGACATAAATTGTAAAGATTTTTTTTGGAAGCTGAGGCTGGATCAGGGCATTATACTGTACTGGGAGTAGCTACTGCATTTCAGCGATGGCCACTATAAAGAACTTCCTGAGAATCATCCTTTGTTCCAAAGCCCTGGGCCACTGTTCTGGCCACTGCTGCTCAGATCACCTTGCAGTCAGCTCCAACTGGCCATCACGACACGGGAACATCACTGGGCTGCAGCCACAGTCACTCCAGACTGACTAGTGAACGTCTGCAAATCACTTTAGCTCTCCTTGGAGGGCATTCCACAGAAGTATTTATTATTATTATTATTACATCAATGGTCCTGAAACCACATGTCAAATTACTTATGCTCAGTATGCAGCAAGGAGAAAAAATTGAAACTCCGTGTGTTCTCACAGCAGATGCTTTTGGATCAAATGGCTTGTAATTACTACTTGGATCACTGAAGGGAAGTGAGTAGCAAAATCACAATCTGGCTGTCACAAATGGGCCCAAACCACCACAGTGGCTGATAAAAGGAAAGTCTATTTGCAAGGGAGATGAGGAGAAAACACAAAAGGGAGTTGCACGCTCCCAGTTTTCTTAACAACAGTAAAATGTCATAGAAGAGAAAGTGTTTATTTCCTTCTTGGACTGAGGCCCACACATCGGTTGATATGAAAGAAAAACAAAGATGGATCTAGCTAGCTCGCTAGCTGTATGCATATATATATGCTATGTAGGGTTGTGTATTAATATTCTCTCTAAACAGATTACCATACTGTGGTGAAGAGTAAGCTGTTTCATTCATATTTTCCATTTAAGAAAACAATATTAGGGGGTTTGTTTTGGTTTTGGGGTTTTTTGGGGTTTTTTAGGTTTTTTTTTCAGTTTACAGCTCATGACTAAGATGACAATACTGCATTCACTCACTGCCACAGAAAGTTGGAATACCCCAAGCCAATTTTCCAGAAGAAGGGGCCAAGGCCCAGGGGCTGTCACAATTTCTGCAATGAAGCTTCTGGGGTTGCCGCCATCTGAGCCTTAGTGGGGACTTTGTTGTCACAATCTCCATGACAAACACCTCCCTTCAAAGGCCGTGTAAGACTCACTATTACTCATCCAGACGTTCGTTATGAAAAGCTTTCATTTTTGGCAAGCCAAAGTGTCCTCTAAAAAAATGTTCAAGTAAGACTGGCTTTATTCCAGACTTAACAGATTTTGAATTAGGGTGACTCACTGTTGGGCTGTTATATGATGCATCAATTAGAGTGAAATAGTTTAAAATGCACACGGCCCCTCCCTCACAACAGCCTTTCTGTGTTATAGAAATGGGCGTAATGTACTTATTGTATAAAAATAGGTTTGTGCAGGTTACAAGTATTCTCCAAGAATGATTAGCAGATGAAAAGTAGCAAAATGAAATATTAATTATTTAGCCAGCTCAGGCAGAATTTTAAGTCCCAGAGATATAAAAAAACAAATTACACCCTTAGTTCTATCTGCCATTCTATCTGAATCTAGTTATCTGGGTACGATAGCACAGAAATTACAGAGGCTGCATTAAAATTGTCCTATAAATGAAAGGAATTTCTTCAGTATCCCTACATCACAAGTAATGCTTAGCTAAAACAAATAGGAGTAAAACAAATGCAGAAATCATAGTTTCTTCTCACTCCTTAGAGCATCGATGGGACCTGTTGATTTGAGCCCATCTTAAGCACTAAGCTTAAATTCTCACTGTAAGTGGCTACATCAGCAAAATTTATTTTCAAAGTCCAACATAAACTCTGTTAATAGGAAGTGTACTGATGCTATAGTTTCATAACTTTCTTTTTTCAGGGATGGGGTCTTACTCTGCCACCCAGGTCAGAGTGCAGTGGTGCGATCTTGGCTCACTGCAACCTCTGCCTCCCAGGCTCAAGCAATCCTCCCACCTCAGCCTCCGAGGAGCAAGCCACTACACTCGGATAATTTTTTGCATTTTTGATAGAGACAGGGTTTCACCATGTTGCCCAGGCTAGTCTCAAATGATCCACCTGACTCAGCCTCCCAAAATTCTGGGATTACAGGCACGAGCCACCATGCCAGGCCTCTTAACTTTCAAAGTAAGAATTTTACATTGTTATATAATGCTGGAAGAGATAGGACCCTAAAATTATGGGCCTTTATTACAAATCAGTCATCCTCAGCCATTAAATGACTACATCTAATAGAAATAGGGCATATATAAACTATATCGATTACAAGCTTTCCTGGGAGCCATGACATACGCACTTGACAGAGTGGCTAACAGTAAGAGATGGTAAGTGCAGAGTAAGAACTGGCTGGGTGCAGTGGCTCACGCCTGTAATCTCGGCACTTTGGGAGACTGAGGTGGGTGGATCGCGACGTCAGGAGTTCAAGACCAGCCTGGCCAACATAGTGAAACCCCATCTCTACTAAAAATACAAAAATTAGCCAGCCTTGGTGGCAGGTGCCTGTAATCCCAGCTACTCAGGAGGCTGAGGCAGAAGAACTGCTTCAACCTGGGAGGCAGAGGTTTCAGTGAGCCGAGATCACGCCACTGCACTCCAGCCTGGGCAACAGAGTGAGACTCCATCTGAAAAAAAAAAAATTATTTGGTGGAGGAGAAATTAAATAACACAGCTTCATGGGGATGTTGTGGGTTTGAAAAAGGCACTAGGAAGAGGCATAGGCACATCTGGGATTTCATGCTCTAGGATTTCATTCAGAAATCATTCTGAGGATTTGTTTGGTCAGAAGCAATTCTAGGGATGAGGAGACATTACTCAGGCTCCCCTTGACGGCGCCTGGAGAGACACAGCATAGAATGTACTATCTATGTGAAGATCCCTGACAACCCTGAGAGGAAAATGCAATTTTGTATTCACTGAACTCTCAAACGAAGGTAAGTACTGCTGAGGAATAGAGATGTATAAATCAAAGATATTATTATGACTTCAGTCTAGTCATGTCACTAATTTTAAAATGGAGTTAACATGAGGTTAGATACCTCCAAAATGCTTGGCATTCAAGACTATCTCTTTAGAGAATACCTACTGGGACCATTTTAATTATAAATCTATTTTCAAGGAGTTCATGTAAAGATTCTGAACCAGCATTCCTCGCTTAAGTTAGCATTTGTGGCCGGGTGCTGTGGCTCACCCTGTCATCCCAGCACTTTGGGAGGCCGAGGTGGGTGGATCACAAGGTCAGGAGATCGAGACCATCGTGGCTAACACGGTGAAACCCCATGTCTACTAAAAACACAAAAAATTAGCCGGGCGTGGTGGCGGGCGCCTGTAGTCCCAGCTACTCGGGAGGCTGAGGCAGGAGAATGGCATGAACCCGGGAGGCGAAGCTTGCAGTGAGCCAAGATCGTGCCACTGCACTCCAGCCTGGGCAACAGAGCCAGACTCCGTCTCAAAAACAAAAACAAAAACAAACAAAAAAAAACAGAAAAAGTTAGCATTTGTGTCATTCATGTAAAACAAGATGGCGGCCATCTATAGCAAAGTTTACCTCACTGGAGTTACTGGAGTTTTGAGGTAGCTGAGTTCCAGAAAATCCATGGCTGCCACTTGAATCAAATATCTGACAGATGGGGGAGGAAAAAGACTAATGAAATGGCCCTGTAATATTCATCTGCCAGCTACCCTTTTTCATTATTTAAAAACTAAAGTTCTATAACATTTTAGAAGAGCTTCATATCACAATTTGTATCATTATTCTAATACACTTAAAGTTTTTATTTCCCGCATAGTTACGTTTTACTTTTTTATGTCATCTATTATTTAAGTCGGCCTGTAATCCCAGCACTTTGGGAGGCTGAGGTGGGTAGATCACCTGAGGTCAGGAGTTCAAGACCAGCCTGGCCAAAAGAGTGAAACCTCATCTCCATTAAAAATACAAAAATTAGCCAGATGTGGTGGCACCCGCCTGTGGTCCCAGCTACTCAGGAGGCTGAGGCAGAGAATCACTTGAACCCGGGAGGCGGAGGGTGCAGTGAGCTGAGATCATGCCACTGCACTGCAGCCTGGGCAACAGCACGAGACTGTATCAAATAAATAAATAAATAAATAAATAAATTCATTCTTGATATGCTTTTAACCAAAAAGTACATGTTTCTGAAGGTGTGAAACAGAACCAACAAAATCAAGCTCATACCTACTTTTTTTAATGTGCACAGAATAAATCTTGGAAGAAAATATAGCTAAATGTTAAAAGTGGTTTGTTTGGGTAGAAGAATTAAAAACAATTGCCTTTTCCAAATTTCACCTTCTAAATTTTGTAATGGCATAATTAACATTAAAAACAATATAAACACTTAGAAATACCTACTAAATCAACTTCATTCAGTTATATAAATACTGACACTGTAATTAGTTTCATATCTTTTTAAAACAAAAAATGTTCGACCAAATGCTTTTGTTTATCAAAAAGTCTATGTTGAGAACAAATTACCACAGATGCTGGGTAAAAACCATATTAGGCTCATATCTAATTAGCAGAATGTCTACACCTAAGAAAAAATAAGCAAGTTATTTATCAAGTTATTATTTATATCGAATATACTGTCTTGATTAAAATACCTTAAGGACATTAGTTAACCATCAAAGAAGTTCAGTTCACAAAACATAAGTGCTCGGTGTTATGGCTCAGACCTGTAATCCCAGGACTTTGGGAGGTTGAGGTGGGAAGATGGATTGAGGCCAGAAATTTGAGACTAGCCTGGGCAACATAGGGAGACCACTCCCATCCCCATTTCTACAAAAACAATTTTTAAAAAATAAAGAAAGCATAGGCCCACCATTAGCAAAGGGTTTGCAGTTGACTACAGTCAATAATGAGGAAATACATTTCCATTACAACCAACAAATAAGATTACTCTTTACAATTAAATTAAATTAAATTACAGGCTGGTCACAGTGGCTCACACCTGTAATCCCAGTACTTTGGGAGATAGAGGCAGGTGGATCACATGAGCCCAGAAGTTTGAGACCAGCCTGGCCAACATGGTGAAACCCTGTCTCTACTAAAAATATAAAAATTAGCCACGTGTGGTGGCTCAAGCCTGTAGTCCCAGCTACTTGGGAGGCTGAGGCACGAGAATTGCTTGAACCCAGGATGTGGAGGTTGCAGTGAGCCAAGATCGTGCCACTGCACTCCAGCCTGAGTGACAGAGAGACTCTCTGTCTCAAAAAAGAAAAAAAAATTAATTACAAGTAGAACCACAATTTTAAAATCTGATATTATTTTTGTATATGAGTATATAAACATGGTGGCCACATAAGAAAAGTTTCCTGTGATTCTGCTGTCTGTTAATCTACCAACCCACTCTCCACCACCTCTAACTTTATTGTTTTAAGGTTTTAAACAAGTCAAAGGAACTGATACTGGCCCTTTTACTTACCCAATTCACAAAAGCGTTATCAAATAGCCATATACAAATTAGAAAACAAAGATCCAATAAAATGTGACTCTCTTTCCAATGATATTGAAAATATAATCAGAAAAACAGCAGCTCATTGAAAATAAAAGCAAAAACTTCTTCAGATTTAATTGCAAACAATTTCCCTATTCACCTGAATGATCAGGTCATCATATAACTTATTTTTTCAACAGCTTTGAAACAGAATAATCCTAAAACATATCAATCAGCAAGATAAAGTCCATTATCATGCACCTGCATCATGAAATACAGGTGCACCATGAAATACACATATTCAAAATGTTTTGAAAACAATTTACGATACTTGGGCCACATTTCACATAACATGTGCTTAGACTATTTTTCCTTAATAAAAATGTTAGAAGAGGCCAGGCACGGTGGCTCACGCCTGTAATCAGCACTCTGGGAGGCCCAGGTGGGTGGATCACCTGAGGTCAGGAGTTCACAACCAGCCTGGCCAACAGGTGAAACCCTGTCTCTACTAAAAATACACAAATTAGCCAGGCATGGTGGTGTGCACCTATAGTCCCAGCTACTCAGGAGGCTGAGGCAGGATAATCACTTGAACCCAGGAGGCAGAGGTTGCGGCGAGCCAAGATCACACCACTACATTCCAGCCTGGGTGACAGAGCAAGACTCCATCTCAAAAAAAGAAAAAAAAAAAAGAGAAGAAAAGAAAAAGAAAGTGTTGCAAGAGTCACCTTTCCCCAAGGGAAAATAAGCACTAGCAATTTTCCAGTGTTTCAAGACCGTGGACTTAGGCAGAAACTAGTCCTGGCCCTGCCCTTTGGTGCTGGTGAACAGGATAAGGTAAGTGACGTAACCTCTTCAAGTGTCAGTCTGCTCGTCTCTAAAATGGGATGACAAAACCCCAAGGCCATGTTCTAAGGATTTAGTGAGCAAAATCCACAGCTCTATCAACAGAACTGAGCTGCCACTCCTCTGATTATTAATTTTCCATTTATTTTAATATAAAATCTATGAGAAAGTAAATATTAGTACTAGAGGGAAGGAAAAGTGTGGATTATTTTCTGATTATTCTTATTTTTTCTGTTCTTAAGCACTGCACGCAGTGTGACTACCTCTTCAGGGGTGCCGGGATAGATACGGCAACTTGTGCAGTTTCGTTGGGTTAAAAAAAAAAGTGCATGCTAAGAGTTGATTCCTTTGAATCAACTTTTATTTTCATTTTTATTTTTGAGACGGGGTCTCGCTCTGTCACTCAGGCTGGAGTACAGTGGCAAAATCATGGCTCACTGCAGCTTCAACCTCCCGGGCTCAAGCGATCTTCCCAATTCAGCTTCCCGAGTAGCTGGGACTATAGGCGCACACCACCACACTCGGCTATTTGTAGAGATGGGGTCTCACTCTGTTGCCCAGGCTGGTCTTGAAGTCCTGGGCTCAGGTGGCCCTCCTGCCTTGCCCTCCCAGTGTGCTAGAATTACAGGCGTGAGCCACCCCACCTCGCCTCATTTCATTCTTAACAGAGAATGAACATTGATGATTCATAGCAGGCCGAAAATTAGGGGTTTCAGGAATTTCACTCTAGTCTGCTGTTCCCATGCTGAAAAGCTCACCTGAGTTATAGAAGGTCTCTTCTCCTTGCCTTTTCTGGCCAGTGTGTCCAGCCCTTTTAACGAAGAAAATATTCCCTTCTTGTTTCTCCCTCGCTGGGTCAGTGACAGTGTCCTTTTCCGGAGAGCAGAGTCATCTCTAGAACATACCTAATGTAAAACACAGTTTAAAAAAAATCTAAAGGCTTAGTATTTGAGTGGCAGAAAAAATGAAGGAAGTGAGCTCTGCTTGCTATAAATGCATTCTGACTATCGCCAAAAGCTCCTGCATGTCTGAAATACCAGGAAAGCATCCATCATATAGACCACTCTCATCTGGATAACACAAGTCATGACAGTCAGCTCTCTCCATGGTGGGCAGCAGCGTCAGCAAAACCACTACAGACCCCTAGGCTGAGCCAACACAACACACAGAAGCCACCAAAATGGGTACGACTTCAAAAAACCTGATGGGGCGCTCTGCAGGACAGAGAAAACAACCTTTAATCCATCCTTTAATCTTCACACCACTGTTGCCCCTTCTCCAGGATCCCACTTTCCTGATGGTGGAATACACAGAAAGGCAGAGATGAGCATGCAGTAACTGTCCACTAGCTGCTGGACTCTAGAATAAGCAGTAGAGAAACCGGGGGCTCTACAGCACGACGTCTGGTCTCCTTCATCTCCAGGCCCCTGGCCTCTGGGTGACCTGGCCTCTAGGTGTCAGTTGTTGGGTCAAGCCCCACAAGTGCCGATGGCAACAAGCTGAAGAAAGGGGGAGCATCCGCAGCCCTCCCCGAATGCTGCAGAAACAGCCTTCCTCAGGAACTTACCAGAGCATGGAAAGAGGAAACAGACAAGATGCCCAGCCTGCCGAGGGCCAGCTTGGAGGGGCGGCTGGCGGCTGCAAGGAGACTCTTTGGGTTCGGTAACTCCCCACCTTGTAGGCTGGCCAGATAGCAGCGCATCCTGAACAGATCCATGTGAAATTTCTCAAGATTCTGCTCCCATTGCTGGATCTTAAAGCAAAAACAGAGGTGATTTAAATAAAAATTAAAAGTTTTCACAGGTTAAAACGAAAATGTGATCCCTTTCACAAACTTGAAGAAAAAATTAGTTTCGGCTGGTCTGCATGGTTTAAATTAGCCTTTCCTGCTCACCCCATCTCAATCCCTCCCATCAAAATGCATTGGGTCCTTTGGAAAGCGAGGCAGGCAGATCACTGAAGGTCAGGCATTTGAGACCAGCCTGACCAACACAGTGAAACTCCATCTCTACTAAAAAAAAGAAAAAAAAAAAACACAAAAATTAGCTGGTGTGGTGCCAGGCACCTGTAATCTCAGCTACTCTGGAGGCTGAGGCAGGAGAATGGATTAAACCTAGAAGGCGGAGGTTGCAGTGAGCCAAGATCATGCCACTGCACTCCAGCCTGGGCAACCAAGCAAGACTCCGTCTCAAAAAAAAAAACAAAATGCACTGGGTCATCCAGCACTTCATTTCATCAGGATAGCCAAACAAAAACAAAAACAAAAAGCTGGTGGTCCCAATACAGTGACATGCCAAAAAGGCATGATGTTTGTTTGGAGAATGCCAACACTCTAAACCATCCTGACTTAAAACAGGATGCAATTTGCAAGTCAGCTTTTTCACTTTGCTTCATTTCCCTTCACATTTACAGTCCCTGATCCTAAACTGGATTAACTGAACTGCACACAAACAGATGCCAGATAAATAAAAGCAATGACTTTATGTTTCTGTTCATTCTGAGTAAATGACTCAAAACAATAAGAAGCAAATGGACTTCAGGGATAAGGACAAATAGAATTTTACTGAGTATACTCCTAAGTAAGTATCTTGGAGAATAACTGCCATCTGTACATCTAAATAAAATTAAAGTATATGCAGCTGTTTACACCACAGAAGTTACTATGAACTTCTTCAAAACTTAAGTCATGAGTTGGTAAAGAAATGCAGCCAAACTCTGGGAGCCACTCTCCTTTCTCCCAAAGATATAAAATGCATTACCTACAAGTATTACCTTCATGCAAAGATAAGTTATTAATAATAGGTGAAGAGAGGCTCTTGTGACTTGCCAACACAGGGACTCAGCAGAAGAACGAGAAGAACAGAAAGCTGTGATTCAAAAGCTGTTGAGCGCAATCTCAACACTCAAGAGAAGGTCTGTAAGTGAACGCTTGTAATCAAGGATGCAGTGTGAAGAGTTAGGTTATTTCAGGTGCACCAGTTGCATCTCTAGTTCTGCCATGTTGCTGAGCACCCAGACAGATCCTAGCCTTTCACACCAAGCTTTCTAGGTGAATCCTTCATTCTGGATAAATAATACTTTGAAGGATTTCCAACACTGGACACTCTGCCCCCTCCAGTCTCTCCCCATAGACAAGTATTACAAATTCTGGGCATTCCCCAGACCTTTTCCAAGTTCTCTGTAGCTATTTCTTAGGTTGGTCGCTGCACAACTTTTCTGCATGAAAGAAAAACAGTCACAAGATCTAAACAAAGAATTTCTTAATCATCATCATTTGTCAGCAAAACAGTGACATTCCAAGGTGCATTGAAACAATGTCAACATCCATAAAGAATTTAACCTCACTCAAGATCCTGTATACCCCTATTAGCAACGTGGTGGCCTACTGGTATCAGCCTTGAATGGACAGAATGACCTGTTGGCTTTTAAAAATGCAGATGCCCAGGTCCTACGCCTGAAGATTTTATCCATTAGGTCTGAGGCCTAGGAAAGTTTACATTTCATGAGCACCTTCTGGGATTCTGGTGCATGGCCTTATTACTGATGACTCCTGTTCTACGCTAACAAGACAGTTCAAATTGAAACTGCAAGTCTCTTCCTGGTCCTGCCATATTAGAGAATTCCAGATTTCAGAGTGATGGATGGGCACAAACTGACACCTTACTTAAGGTTCAGTAAAAACTATCATCTCAGTTCTGTTTCCCAAACATCTTCTCTCCAGATGATTCCTGAAAGTCCACAATTATAGATGGATTCCTTTGTCTTCTAATAATATGTAGATATTTCTAGATTGGATAATGCATTAAAGTTTATCACACTCATTTATGCCTCACTGTAAAACAGTTTATCAGATATTTTCTGAAGGTTGTATGGAGGGTGAAGATATAAGAGGAAAGAAAATGAATGAGTCGGCAAGGCACAGTGGCTCATGCCTGTAATCCCAGCACTTGGAGAGGCCGAGGTGGGCAGACTGCTTGAGCCCAGGAGTTTGAGACCAGCCTGGGCAACATGGCGAAATCCTGTCTCTACAAAAAATACAGAAATTAGCCAGGCATGGTGGTGCATGCCTGTAGTCCCAGCTACTTGAGAGGCTGAGGTGGGAGGATCTCTTGAACCCAAGAGGTGGAGGCTGCAGTGAATTGAGATCACGCCATTGCAGTCCAGCCTGGGTGACAGAGCGAGACTGTCTCCAAAAAGAAAAAAAGGAAAGAAAAAGAAAATGAATGAGTCACTGGATACCAGAAGGTAAAGATGCCCATGCAATCCATGGTGGATTAAAAAGACAAAAAAGGCCGGGAGTGATGGCTCACGTCTGTAATCCCAGCACTTCGGGAGGCCGATGCGGGCAGATCATTGGAGGTCAGGAGTTCAAGACCAGCCTGACCAACATGGTGAAACCCCATCTCTACTAAAAATACAAAAAAAAAAAAACATTAGCCAGGTGTGGTGGCACACGCCTGTAATCCCAGCTACTCAGGAAGCTGAGGCAGGAGAATTGCTTGAACCCCGGAGGTGGAGGC
Source organism: Homo sapiens (assembly GCF_000001405.40). Classification (NCBI taxonomy): domain Eukaryota; kingdom Metazoa; phylum Chordata; class Mammalia; order Primates; family Hominidae; genus Homo; species Homo sapiens. The sequence goes on along the minus strand of NC_000006.12, from coordinate 155,161,647 downwards.
TGCAGTGAGCTGAGATCGCACCACTGCACTCCAGCCTGGGCAACAGAGTGAGACTCCATCTCAGAAAAAAAAAAAAAAAGACAAAATAAAATAAAATTCAGGTCTATGCCAATCACCACAGGTTGGGGAAGAAGACAATCTCTTGTATTTGCACTGAATCCTGTAGTTTTAAAAGTATTTTTAACAGCACTATTTAATGTACTTATGTGACTACACATCAAAGCAGTACTGAGAGGTAAAGACAGTTTGAGACCAGCCTGGGCAACATGGTGAAACCCTGTCTCTACAAAAAAATGCAAAAATTAGCCAAGCATGGTGGCATGCACTTGTGGTCTTGAGAGGCTGAGTTGGGAGGATCACTTGAGCACAGGAAGCAGAGGTTGCAGTGAGCCAACAATGTGCCACTGCATCCCCAGCTGGGGTTATCAGAGTGAGACCCGATACCCCGGCTCAGATCGGGAATGAGCACACAGGGATACACAGGGAATCATAAAGTTTTATCAGAAACACTTTAATAATCTTCAGCACTCATAGACCTCTCCACCCAAATCTTGGGACAAAATACAGGTGAATTCAGAGGGAGAACATGGACCCAGATGCTTAGGTTTGTTGGAAAGTCAACAGGGCTGGGACACCCCAATAGCCCAAAGGAGACCTTATAAAAATCAAGACGTTTGTTGTCTTGATTGTATCTTATTAAGTTTCAAGACAACCAGTATCTCAATAAACTGTACACTGTAAAGTTCATTTAAAATTTAATTTAGTAGAAAATGCAAAGGAAAAGTAACCTTATGACTTCTCTATTTCAACAATGTTCCTTATCCTTCTTAACCTTATCCTGACTGGAGTGATTTTTTGTTTGTTTGTTTGTTTTTGTTTTTGTTTTGAGACATGGTCTCACTCTGATACCCCAGCTGGGGATGCAGTGGTACATTGTTGGCTCACTGCAACCTCTGCTTCCTGCGCTCAAGTGATCCTCCCAACTCAGCCTCTCAAGACCACAAGTGCATGCCACCATGCTTGGCTAATTTTTGCATTTTTTTTGTAGAGACAGGGTTTTACTATGTTGCCCAGGCTGGTCTCAAACTCCTGAGTTCAAAGCGATCCACCCGCGTAATGGTTAATATTATGTACCAACTTGATTGGGCCACGGGGTGACCAGGTATTTAGTCAAACATTATTCTGGGTGTGTCTCCAAGGATGTTCTGGGAGATATTAACATTTAAATGGGTAGACTGAGTAATGCGGATTGCCTTCCCTAATGTGGGTGGGCCTCATCCAATCTGTTGACCACCTGAAGAGGACAAAAAGGCTGACACCCCCTCAAGTAAGAGAGAACTCCTCCTGCCTGACAGCCTTCAAACTGGGACACTGGCTTTTTTTCCCCCTTGGCTTTGGACTTGAACAAAACATGGGCTCTTCCTCAATCTTGAGCCTACCAGTCTTCAGCCTAGAACTACACCATCAGCTGTCTTCATTCTCATGCCTTAGACTCAGACTGGAACTATACCATTGTCTCTCCCAGGTCTCCAGCTTACTGACTTACCCTGCAGATCTTGGGACTTGCTCTTCTCCATAACTGCATGAGCCTATTTCTTATAATAAATTTCTCTCATTCTCTCCCTACACAAACACATACACACACACCTCTTCAGGTATACACACATCCTACTGTTTCTGTTTCTCTGGAGACCCCTGACTTATATACAGCCTTCATCCCTATAGATCTTTGTGGCAGAGTAAGCCATCTTTACTCACGTATCTATTCCATATTGAAAGATCATAGTCATCTTATTTTTAAGGTCATGGTTCTTTATAGAAAGAATCAGTTCCAGAGCTTAAATGAAGATCTGTGGTTAAATAATCAATATGAAATATTTGACTTTTCTTTCCACAGACTCAGCAAAGTTGTAGAGAGGAACTTGAAAGAGTATTCAAGTAAAAGTACGGTGAGGCCCCTGATTCAGAAGCTCGGGTTCCTTAGAGGGAAGAAGAGGTACAAGTGCTGGACCCAAAGGCTCACAACAGACCTTATAGTATTTAGAAAGGCTGTTAACATTCACAATGAAATTGCAAGGGACTTGGTATTACCATACCTTCATTTCTCAGCAGTTGAGACTTAAGTCCAGAAGAGAAGCAATTTGACCAGTCATGTAAAAAGCTCACCCTACCAGACTAGCAGACCCAAAGCCGATTCTGATGTGAACAACATGTAGGGGACAGGGACCCTCTCAAGTAGCTATAACGGGGCCCCTGATTCCCAGGTCTTCTGACTCATAGGAAGATACCTGTGCACTATCCTCATAGTGACCTTAGCAACTTTCATTTACATTTTTACCTGTCCACTTTATGTCTGCCCATATACCCCCAGGTATTCTACAGAGAAGGAGGTAAGACTACCACACTCTCACTCAGTGGCCCTATTCATATTGAACACTTTACATTTCAATATCCTACCAGCCTTGACATTCAAAGCCAGCCCAAATTTAAAGTAATGTTAACTTGAAAGAAAAACATTTTATAACAATTCTTCAGAAGGTGACATAAAAGAAAGACAAAGATACATATTTTAAAGGGTAAAGGAAAAAAAGACAATCTTTTAGCTATTATGTATGTTAGTTTAGAGATTCAGTACAGTTCAATGATAATAATCACCAAAATAGTAATGTATTACCTGACCACATTTATCAAGGTGTTTCTGGAGATATTTTTTTCTAACATCAAAAACTAGAATGCCTAAAATCAGTTCCTTTTAATCCAAGACATCCCACCCCCTTTTCCTAAATTCTTTAAATACTGATAAGTTTCTAGATGTTTCCTTATTATTTAAAGATAAACATCAAGATATGATATAAAAAGAAAAAAAAAAACACTTGCAGCCTGGTCAACGTGGTGAAACCCCGTCTCTATAAAAAAACACAAAACTCAGCCAGGTGTGGTTGGTGCACACCTGTAGCCCCATCTATGTGGGAGGCAGAGGTGGGAGGATAGCTTGAGCCCAGGAGGTTGAGGCTGCAGTGAGCCGAGACAGGGCCACTGCACACTCCAGCCTGGGCAACAGAGTGAGACCCTGTCAAAAAAAAAAAAGTAAAAAACATAACTTCTATATAGATTGAGCTTTTGTTTCTTTTAATGCCCATGCTCAAAACATAAAAAAGACAAGACTGAAAAAAACTCACTCTGAGAAGGTTTTCATTATCTTTCATTGTGAAAGGAAGTTACTAATAACAAAATTACAGGGGAACACTCCCATTTTTAAACATTGGCACAAATTCAATGCAAAATTTTCCTCTTTATTGCTAACACAGCTTTACTGATTTAATGAACTCAGAAAGGTTATGGTCTCCTGTAGTAAAGTGGGAGGGAGAGGGATGAAGCCTAATGCTAAAAATAACAAATGAATAATGATTTTTTTTTAAAAGATGACAAGTACATTCCTGCCACACCCAGCAGTCCTAGAAAAATATTTTCTGCCATTTAGTCATTTAATCGCAGTAGTCATTTGCCTATTACTAGGTTTGTCCCATAAGATAATTCATGTTTCTTTCTTGGTGTAAGAAGCTGAAAAACTCCCGTTCCATGCTTTCCAAATACTAAAACCTATCTTCACAGAAGAACCAGCTAGTGACATAGATGACACTCAAGTTTAACAGTATTTAGAACAACCAGCTAAAGTAGAGAGATTCGGTTTTGTTCTGTTTTCCTTTGAGATATAATTCCCATACCCAAAAATTCACTCAGTTTTATAATCAATGTAATTCCCATCAAATCGACCTGAAAAATCCAAGTTATAAAAACAAGTAAATCAAGGATTCTATTCCACACAAAACAATTCATCACCTGGTTTAGTTAGCAAGCAAAGCACCATCTGATTTACCCAAGTCTTACGGAGCAGTAGCGCCTATGAATTAGGAGCAAAGATTTGTGTCCAAATCCCAGCTCTACCACTTACCAGCTGTGTGACATTAGCAAATGCACTTCTTGGTGCTCCAGTGGCGCAATCAGTTAGTGCACGGTACTTATACGGAAAATGTACTTCTCGTCTGGGTGCAGTGGCTCACTCCTATAATCCCAGCACTTTGAGAGGCCGAGACAGGAGGATCGCTTGCACCCAGGAGTTCGAGACCAACCTGGGCAACATAGCGAGACCTCGTCTCTATTTTTTAAAAAAATTTTTAATTCTAAAAAAAAAAAAGAAAGAAAAAGAAAAGAAATATACTTCTCCTAAGGGTCTATTTACTCATCCAACAAACGGGTGCTATATCTACATCTTTACCTTGCAGAGTTATTGTGAAATCACATATGATAGTGGCCTAAGGCAGAGGCTCTGATAAAACAAGGAAGGGGAGCATGAGAACAAGGCAGGGCAAAAGGAGGCGTTCTGTTAGACGGGGGTGAAGCAGGAAGGCCTGGAACACTGGGAAGTGGGGTGGTGGCTGACTCAGAGAAGATCTCTGTTTCCTGCAGTACAGAGGACAGCATCCCTGGACAGACGAGACAGAGGTGCTTCCACACATTCACTAACTCAAGCAAGGCATCGAGGGTTCAGAGATAAAAAAACAGACACGGTTCCTCCAGGAGCACGTATTTTATAGCAGGAGCAACCTTACACACGAAGAAATCATGACAAAGCCATGGATGACAGCAGTGGCACAGACATGGAGAACTGTGGGAGGAGAGTGGGGCTCCCTGATGGAGTGGGCAAAAGGGCGATCAAGGACAGCGCCTTGGAGGAAGCGACCCCTAAACCCTTCATGACAGTCGAGAAGGGGTGAGCCAGATGAAGAGGGCGGAGGGGAGCAGGGCACATTTGTGCACAGCACAGGAGTCCTCTCTGCCTGAGGAAAAACCCAAAGAAAGGAGCAGAAGGGTGGGCTCAGGGAGTTGCAGATAAAGGTCAAGGTGGGGAGAGGTTATCAGGGACTTTATCTGGCAATCACAGGATCACATGTGCTTTTTATTTTTTTACTTTATTTATTTATTTATTTATTTTGAGACATATCACTCTGTTGCCCAGGCTGGAGTGCAATGGTGTGATCTCAGCTCATGGAAACCTCTGCTTCCTGGGTTCAAGCGATTCTCCTGCCTCAGCCTCCCGAGTAGCTGGGATTACAGGTATGCGCCACGACACCTGGCTAATTATTTTTGTATTTTTAGTAGAGACGGGGTTTCACCACATTGGCCAGGCTAGTCTTGAACTCCTGACCTCAAGTGATCCGCCCACCTTGGCCTCCCAAAATGCTGGGATTACAGGCATGAGCCACTGCACCTGACCCAGATGTGCTTTTCCGATGCAACCCAGTCTGGCTGTTGTATGGAAGATGCATCAGACGAAGGGCGAAACCGGAGGCTTCTGCAGTGGTACCGGGAGGAGAGAGTGACAGACAGTCCTACTTCCCCTGTCTACCTCTCACCACCTACCTAAAACCACACTGCATTTGCTCCCACTGTGCCTTGGCCTGGAAGACCCCTCTCTATTCTCCCGGTAAACTCCTCATTTTTCAAGAAGCAACTTGGCCTCCCTCCTCCAGGGTCTTCCATGACTGCACATGAGGCTATATTTCCCATTTCTGTCTTCCACAGCACTGGAATGCCACGTGCACTGAATCACTGTGTTATGTTGAAATTGTATGCTCAACTGTCTGTCACCTGCTAGACTGAGAGCTCAACTGTCTGTCACCTCTCTCTAGCAGGTGCCACTGTCACTGAAGGCTCTAGCACTCTCTCTAGCAGTGCCACTGTCACTGAGGGCAGAGACAGTGACTTCTTTGAGTCTCCAGTCTGTGCACATTTGCCTGACCCAGAGTATGCACCGAACAAACGCTCATTTAACTAAACCAAACATTCTTATTCTCCTAACAAAAACATTTCCAGGCTGGGAGCGGTGGCTCATGCCTGTAATCCCAACACTTTGGGAGGCCAAGGCGGGCAGATTGCCTGAAGTCAGGAGTTCGAGACCAGCCTGGCCAACATGGCAAAACCCCGTCTCTACAAAAAATACAAAAATTTGCCGGGTGTGGTGGCGTACGCCTGTAATCCCAGCTACCCAGGAGGCTAAGGCAGGAGAATCACTGGAACCCTGGAGGCAGAGGCTACAGTGAGCCGAGATCACACCACTGCATTCCAGCCTGGGCGACAGAGAAAGACTCCGTTTCAAAAAAATAGAAAATAAAAACACTTCCAGCTGGGCACACTGGCTCACACCTGTAATCCCAGCACTTTGGGAGGCTGAGGCAGGCGGATCAGTTGAGGTCAGGAGTTTGAGACCAGCATGGCCAATCCCATCTCTACTAAAATACAAAAATTACCAGGACGTAGTGGCACATGCCTGTAATCGCAGCTGCCTGGGAGGCTGAGGGACGAGAATCACTTGAACTCAGGAGGCAGAGGTTGCAGTGAGCCAAGACCATGCCACTGCACTCCAGCCTGGGCAACACAGCAAGACTCTGCCTTAAAAAATAAAAAATAACACTTTCACCATCTCCCTATTGCCTGCCTTAAAAAATAAAAAATAAAAAATAACACTTTCACCATCTCCCTATTGCCTATTGAATAAAGTTCACATCTTCACCCACCACCTCCACAATCTGACTTTATCTCCCTCAAATCCCCTCACAAATATGCTACACTCCAGTGGTTTGTTCCTCAAACTGCTTCCCCCTGTACACATCCAGAAATACACCACAGTATCCTCGTATTTTCCTCAAAGCCTTGTTCTCATTGTTCTCTTCACCAGTTGCCAATTGTCCAAACGCAATCCGTCCTCTTTATGATTTTAAAACTGTATTTAAGTAAATATTTAAACTGAAGCCCACATTTCATAAAACCCAGAGCAGTCTGAACCCTACCAGCAAGTGCTTCCTCCTTCCCCACAGCAACCCCTGGTAGTCCAACCACCTCCTCCCTCCCCAGCCTAATTAACCACAGAAGCAGGCCTGTCTACCCTGGAAATCGCACATAATGAGGCAGGATGGGGGATGCCATCTGGGAGAATGCCAAGACTGCCTAAGGGTGGTGAGGTTTTGTCCTTGTTTACTTGTTTGAAATAATAAGCAGAAAGGCAAATAAAGTACTAACTGGACTTAATTTACAACTCTTCCTCCCTGGGAACTTCAAAGGCGATCTGGCGTGTGGATGGCGGTGTGATCTGGTCCACATTGGACATGCTCAAATGAAAGCTGCATCATCCTGCCCCAGAAACACCCAAGAGGCCCAGGACACGGCCAGAGCATGTCACCACTGACCGTATGTAGCTCAGCCGGTATGTTACAACTGCGATAGTGCCTTTTTATTTCAAAAAGGATCTTCTCCACCCACGTACTTCGAAGAAAACCTGTTCCAGAGAATTTCTGTTGCATGATGTCACCTACATTGCACATTCTATTTTTAGGCTAGAAATGACTACATCTGAGGTTTTCAGGGAAAACCGCTGGGGAGGAAGCTACATAAATAAATGTATATTTATTGAGGTTTTAAAATGCTAAGTGGATAAAGCACTGCTCTTTTACAGATATTTTTAAAAGGAAGTTTAGAGAAAGCTAAATGCTTAGGGAATATTTTGGAGACCCTGTCCTGATTGGTCTTGATCTGTAAATACCTTTGCCTTTGTGGCTTCACATTACATTTTTTTGTCAAATATCTCATAAAAGCAATTTTAAGCAAGTACTTGTTCCTGCTTAATGCTTCCCAGTCTTTGTGTCTGAAGGTAAAAAGTAAACAGCTCTTGGCCAGGTATAGTGGTTTCACGCCTGTAATCCCACCAGTTTGGGAGGTCGAGGCAGGCAGATCACCTGAGGTCAGGAGTTTGAGAACAGCCTGGTCAACATGGTGAAACCCCATCTCTACTAAAAATACAAAAATTAGCTGGGCGTAGTGGTGGGTGCCTGTAATCCCAGCTACTCGGGAGGTTGAGGCAGGAGAATTGCTTGAATCCAGCAGGTGGAGGTTGCAGTGAGCTGAGATTGCGCCACTACCCTCCAGCCTGGGTGACAGAGCAAGACTCTGTCAAAAAAAAAAAAAAAAAAAAGCGTAAACAGCTCCTTTACAACCTGCTGACAAAGGATGCAAGGACAGCGGGCACAGCAAACATAACTCAGGCTACACACTACAAAGCCCTTCAGGAACATGTGACTAAATCATAACCTCAAAGAGTGCAATACGGTGAGGAGAATACTTCCAGGTAGAATTTCTTTTTTTTTTCTTTTTCAGAAATAGGGTCTTGCTGTGTTGCCCCACCTGATCTTGAGCTCCTGGCCTCAAATGAACCTCCAGCCTCAGCCTCCCAAAGTACTGGGATTACAGGTGTGAGTCACCGTGCCTGGACAAGAATTTCTAAAATCAATCCCAATTGTCTGTTACCAGAAACTCACAAGACTAACATGAGAAAGGGAGTGCATGTACGGCAGGGGTTGGGAGAAGGGTGTAGGGGAGAAGGGAGTGTGGGGAGGACACAGGAAGGGGTTAGGGCCTGGGCTATGGGGAGGGGAGAACCAAAAATGAAAAATTAGTAGCATTAGAAAGGTGCACTTAAAATAACTAAAGTGATGATTCTGTCAAAGAATGGATAATGGACCACAAGTGATAATTACCCTCATTCTTTAAAACAGTTTCTCTTCAGGCCACCTGACCATCCAGACCCCTGGATTTATGTAAGGGTTTATGTTCAAGTAACCTCCCCTCTTAATCAGAGAATAGCACCAACTATGATGTCATCAATTAAACATTTACAAACTATGGACAAGGGAATACAATTACATTTAATGCAAATTTAAATTTTTAAAAAAATGTCTGCTTAGACTCCTTGTGGCCACAGAGAAACCCCCACCCACCACCACCACACACACACAACAGGCCAGGAGCCTCTCAGTGTTGCCAAATGTCCCTTTTCTCTCCCTAGCCCTAAACATCTGACCCTACCCAAAGACCTGAAAACTCCAAGCTGGGCATCCCTTCGACTACGATTATGGTCAGGATGAGATTTTTGACTGGGGTGCTCTGAACACTCTGAGACACTCGGATCCACAAGTCTCATCTCAGGATAGACAGGCTGTGGCTGCCGGATCCTGGAAAATCAGCACCATGGATGAGACATGGTACAAAGAAAACTCTGGGATAACCGTGTCTCCTTCAGGCTCTTTGATCTGTCCCATCACCTCCACATGGACTCCCAACCTACATTCCACACAGACAGAGAGCGGGGAGGTACGGCTGCACTGCCTCGGGAGCTGAACGCCCCCTGGCTGTGAGCAGGGTGAGGCCCCTTAAGAGGGGCAGGCAGGGCCTGAGAGGAGGCAAGCTGGGCTCGTGGGGGCAGCTCTCCCTCAGCAATGTCAGCAGCTGTGTTCTTGTTGGATCCCAAAGCCTTCCACCTCCTGCATTCTTCTTGGCAGTTTTGGCTTCCTCGTTAAAACTATTTTGTACTTTGGAGTTTAAATGGCATATCCTGGTTGAGCAACAGTTCCGCTCAGGGGTGTAAGTTACTGTCTTTAAGATTCTAAAAAATTGAGATTAGCCGTGGTGGCTTACACCTGTAATCCCAGCACTTTGGGAGGCTGAGGCAAGCGGATCACCTAAGGTCAGAGTTCGAGACCAGCCTGACCAACATGGTGAAACCCCGTCTCTATTAAAAATACAAAATTAGCCGGGCGTGGTGGCGGGCGCCTGTAATCCCAGCTACTCAGGAGGCTGACGCATGGGAATCGCTTGAACCTGGGAGGTGGAGGTTAAGATGAGCCAAGATCACACCATTGCAATCCAGCCTGGGCATCAAGAGCAAAACTCTGTCTCAAAAAAAAAAAAGAAAAAAAAAGAAAAAAAAAAGATTCTATAGAATTACAGAAAATTATGTACCCTGTTATACATTTTCCATGTAAACTGTTGAACTTGTGTCACTTGGGACCAGGCCCTTGTATCTATACACCCAGCACAGTGCCACTCCACTGCCTGACACCTTTTGCCCCACTCTGTCCTCCAAGCTGCTGCCTGATTAATCTTCCAAAGACACTACAGTCATCATGCTTTGTCCTCAGCTTAAAAACCTGTATCCCCCCACCTGAAAGCAGAGTATAAAATAAACCTTACCATCTGAGCCTTGCATACAAGACCACTATGGGCTGAATGTGTCCCTCCGAAATATGTACGTTGAAATCTTAATGCTTTAGGTGATGGTATTAGGAAGTGGGGCCTTTTTAAAAGGGGCAATGATTAGGTCATTGTTTGGAGTGCAATTTATGGGTATAGTGTAAATATGTTATCACAGTTAGTTTGTAAGTGCAGATGTCTGCCAGAATGCCCAAATCTGTTTAGACCAACTGCATTGGGATATTCCAATTTGAGACGACATCACATGCTAGGGCGCACCAACCTTCAAGATAACCAGACACAGGTGGATCCCCAAACAGGGACTATAAAAAGAGAAGCCCTCAGGCAGCTCGACCTGCTCTGCTGAGACACAGACTCGTGAGGATGAGATGCTGCCACTCAGAAAGGGACCCGGAGTCAGGCTTGCCATCTCCTTGACTGAATGCTTCAGCCTCAACATTCCAGCCTTGATACCAGGGGAAGCTATTCCCAGATGCCTGAGGACTTCTGTGACCAATCCTGTGCCTATTCATGTAAGATCCCCGACTTGTTCCTAACAGGGTGAAAAACAAGAGTTGTGTGTAGCGTGAATGGGGATAAAATACCAATATCTGTTAAGAACTGTTTGCGTGCCAACAAACTGTGTGATTCAAGCATTAAGTTACGGTGTCTTTCATCCTTCACTGCTTAATCCACTGCGCACGACAGTCATAATGGTGAGCCCTCGTGAATAGGATGGATGGCCTTATAAAACGCGGCCCGGAAAGATCCCTCGCTCCTCATGTCATGCTAGAATACAGTTAAGAAGATGCTTCTAGAAACCAGAAAGCAGGGCCTCACCAGACACTGAATCTGCCGGCATCTTGATCTTGGACTTCTCAGCCTTCAGAACTCTGAGAAATAAATTGCTCTTGTTTATAAGCCACCCGCTTTACAGTATTTTGTTCCAGACTAAGACACAGACTGAAAAAGCTTCATTGCCTATCCAACCTAACTGCCAACTCTTGTCACTTCCCAAACCTTTGACTCCAGTGTGCTCCAGAGCCCCAAGCCACCACTCAGTCACTTCCAATTGTCTCTCCATGCTCGCCCAACACCCTTCCAGCCTGGAAATCCTTCACACCTCTTAACAACTTTTTAACACCATATTCTTCCAGGAAGTCTTCATTTCCTCAAGATCACAGTACAACCTCAACCCTCTGATCTCCCATAATATTTGATGACTATACCAGCTGTCACCTAACTTCGATCATTTTAGAATGACCTTTAGTTTCATGTTCATAAGGCTTGCTCTCTAACTAAATTATAATTTCTTAGAAACGGGGTCCATATTTTACAATTATTTTTATTTCTTTAAGCCAGGTGCATCTATTAGGTACACCAGTATTTGCAGATGGGAAAATAAGCAGGAGGGAAAGAGCTGAGATGGGAGAAAGGCAACATGAGATATGAGAAAAGGAGAAGCAAAGGTAGATAGAGTGAGAAGATTAATGAGGGGCAGAGGTCGGAATTATTTGGTTATTTTGCTATTGCCAATTGATACATTATTCCAAATTCTCGGTGTATCATTGAATGCATGCCTTTAATCAGTTTCCTATTTTTAGACAGAAATTTTTTCCTACTCATGCTGAATTCTTTTTTTTTTTTTATACAGAGTCTCACTCTTCCCCCAGGCTAGAGTGCAGTGCACAATCTTGGTTCACTGCAACCTCTGCCTCCCAGGTTCAAGCGATTCTCCTGCCTCAGCTTCCAGAGTAGCTGGAATTACAGGCGCCCACCACCGTGCCCAGATAATTTTTGTATTTTTAGTAGAGATGGGGTTTCACCACGTTGGCCAGGCTGGTCTCAAACTCCTGACCTCAGGTGATCTGCCCACCTCGGCCTCCCAAAGCGCCGGGATTATAGGCGTCAGCCACCATGCCCAGCCTCATGCTGAATTCTTCATATATACACAGATGAAAAAACTTCCAAACAAGGTTAAACATTCAGACATAAACAGAGGTATTATTTAATTTGCAATTTAAATAAAACACCACATGTAAAATTCCTTTCTAATAAGTCACACTATGTCTAAATTGTTGTGTTACCATGAAATTTTTTTTCCTAAAGAAACTGGTTTCTCTGTAATAACTTAACAAGTAACTAAAGGAAGAAAAATGCAAGAACCTGCTCACTATCTATCTTCATCCCATTCCTCATTCAAGTTCCCAGGTCATTTGACAACTGGTTTTGGAGGGGGCTGTAGTGGATTCTATAGTGAATCACCCGGATTCCCCCTTCAAGACAGAGGCATTGCTTTCCTTTTCCCAGCTCACACACAGATCCCCTCGTGGTAACTCACCTCTATTGAGGGGAGCTGCCTTGCCCTGCTGGCCTGAGGGGACGAAGGCCGGCCACCCTGCCTCCATGCAGAGCTCTGAATGGCCCTCCCAGCTCCACAGCTCGCTGTGGGACAAGCTGCATCACAATGCAACTTGTCCCTCCCAGATCCTGCTCCCTCACTCCAGGCTGGCGTTGTCCCTGAGAGCATTCCCAGTAAAACTTTTTACATCTAAATCACTATCAAAGTCTGTCTCCTAGGAAACCTGACTAAGATAGGGATGCTCGAAATTCCACTAACACTTGTCTAAGTGTTTAGGTTGTCTGAGCAAAGGGAAATAAAAATTTTCAAACTGTTTTCCCTTCTCTAAAATGCAAATGCCATAGGAAGCAGCCATTTATTATATGAATATGGAACCGCAGCAGAGAAAAGAAAGCATTTCGTTACGTGCTTCTCTGTTATAACCAGAAAAATTACTGTTTTTTTGCAATCCATAGACACAGAAACAGCTGTTACACCAAACCACGTTTTCCAAAGCTATTGTATTAGAATCTTACCTGTCTAATCTTCTAGTGGTTTTATTGTATGGATTTTGTTCAGAAAATGACAATATATGAGTGAATCATCAAGGCCAGAAGGCACTATTCAAATTAGGAATTAAGTTTGGGTCACAAAATATTTCAGTATATACATAGAGCCGCCAAAGGTCATAAAGCATATCATATCACCCATGTCACAAAATGGCAAACATTAGGTACCTAAAATGAAAAACCACAGAAATTATTTCCCCCAGGGTGTAAGAAATACCACCAAGATGTGAGCCAAGAAATACCACCAAGATGACAGCATGCGTTCAGTCACTGCACAAGTGACATGAGCAATGGAAGAAAACTCAGGTGTAGACAAACAGTACCTGGTTCTCTATGGCTTTCCTGTTCTTTGGGTCGCTCACCACGGACAGCTGCAGCTCTGCCATCTTCTTCATCTTGCTGTCCATGTCTATCTTCTGAAGCAGGTTTTTGGTCTGGTTCTTCAGCAGCCGCAGCGTGTCCTCTTTCCCATGCTTCTTTGCAAAAAGGGATGCACAAGCAGAGTGTACAGCAGTGACCCAGTTTTCTAGATCTGTCTGGCTGGTGGCCTACACACAGGGAGGGAGAAAGCCTGTTTCGAATCATTTTACCACTAAAGTGCTCTCCAAAATGGCAGGCTGGGCTTAGATGTACAAAACCCAAGAAGTACTTGCACTGCATACAAGCTGCTTAATTTCAAAAACACATTCAACCATTCAACTCAGGTTCAGAGGGACTCAGAGAACATTAGGAGCAGAGCAGAAAGCATCATGGAGCTCTGACTAGGACAGGAACTAAAACCAGAAACGAGTGCTAGCCAACAACACAGGAGTGATAAGAACAACAGGGGAGACACACTCATGATACATTACGCCACTCTCTAAAAGGATGCTTGGCCAGGCACGGTGGCTCACGCCTGTAATCCCAGCACTTTGGGAGGCTGAAGCAGGTGGATCACCTGAGGTCAGGAGTTCGAGACCAGCCTGGCCAATATGGTGAAACCACATCTCTACTAAAATACAAAAATTAGCCGGGCGTGGTGGCGCATGCCTGTAAGCCCAGCTACTTGGGAGGCTGAGACATGAGAATCACTTTGACCTGGGAGGCGGAGGTTGCAGTCAGCCAAGATCACGCTACTGCACTCCAGCCTGGGTAACAGAGTGAGACTCTGTCTCAAAAATAAATAAATAAATAAAACACAAAAATTAGCCGGGTGTGGTGGTGCATGCCTGAAATCCCACCTACTCGGGAAGCTGAGACAGGAGAATCACTTGAGCCCAGGGGGCGGAGGTTGCAGTGAGCTGAGATCGTGCCACTGCACGCCAGCCTGGGTGACAGGGCAAGACTCAATCTCAAAAATAAATAAATAAATAAATAAATAAAAGGATACTTGTCTTCGGAATTTTAACAGAATGAGTAAACATTAGGACTAGAATATGAAATTTTGAAACCTGGATATAAAATTACATCTACAGTATGGCCTCAATACAAAAAAAAAAAAAGAACAATGTAAATAAAAGTATATTGGGGGGAAACAAAATAATGCTATTGTCTTTGAATATATCAAGGTTTTTCCTTTCTCTATTTTTCAGTGACTTCTAACACAAAGACCACATACTATTTGTATAAAAGAAAAATAGTTTATTTTTGGCTGGGCACAGTGGCTCATGCCTGTAATCCCAGGACTTTTGAGTCCAGGAGTTCAAGACCAGCCTGGGGAACACAGTAAGTCCCCATGTCAATTAAAAAATAATAATAGGACAGGCGTGGTGGCTCACGCCTATAATCCTAGCACTCTTTGGAAGGCCAAGGCGAGCAGGTCACTTGAGGTCAGGAGTTCGAAACCAGCCTGGCCAACATAGTGAAACACAGTTTCTACTAAAAATACAAAAAAAAAAAAAAAAAAAAAATTAGCCAGGCATAGCGGCGGGCACCTGTAATCCCAGCTACTTAGGAAGCTGAGGGAGGAATTCAAGAATTGCTTGAACCGGGGAGGCAGAGGTTGCAGTGAGCTGAGATCACACCACTGTACTCCAGCCTGGGCAACAGAGCAAGACTCCATCTCAAATAATAATAATAATAATGATACATTTTTTAAAAGAAAAATATTTTAAAAACAATAAGCAAAGTTTGAATAAAGTGGGCAAATGGGTATGATTCTAAGCAGGCTGACAAGTACTTTCATTTCTCTTGATGTCTAGAAATAACCACACACATTCGAGTCACAGGGTCAAACCTCAAGTGGCCTCTGGGATCACAAAACAGAACACCTGGGAAAATTCTGTTGTTGTTGTTGCTAAGACAGGGTCTCACTCTGTCGCCTGGGCTGGAGTGCAGTGGCACAATCATAGCTCATTGTAACCTTGACCTCCTGAGCTCAAATGATCCTCAAGCCTCAGCCTCCCAAGTAGCTGGGACCACAGGTGCGCACCACCATGCCTGGCTAATTTTTTTATTGTTCTTTCGTAGAGATGGGGCCTCGCTATGCTGACCAAGCTGATTTCAAACTCCTCGCCACAAGCCATCCTCCTGCCTCAGCCTCCAAAGTGCTGGGATCACAGGCGGGAAAACTCTCAAAACTAAGGATGTTTTACCTGAATCACAAAATAAAACATTCATTTCACACTTGACCCTAAGAAATCCATGCAGATTTAATGTAACTTTTTGTTGTTGTTGTTTGTTTTTTTACCTTCCTTACAATTCAGACTAACATAAATTCATTACTTTGCTTTAAAGTATCATAGAAGGTTTTAAGCAACCTTTCTGTTAAGAAAAGGAAAATCAAATCTCAGGCCCTGGCTCTAGTAAGTTAAGTCAGGTTGGGAATGGCAGTACAATTAAAGGCCCAGGGAGCTTAACCCAGCACTGGGTAAGTGAGGGAGCACTTCTGAGCATTCTAGACTCCCAAAGTCAGCCTAGAGAACACTGTTGCTCTGCAGGGCTTCTGAGGGCACCCAGGACCATCCTTATGAGAGATCTAAACCCAAGCTTTACGAGGCTTTCCATGAAACTTCCAGTCAGATGTAACCTACGGCCAACACTGTGTGTATGTCAAGTGCTGGGTTTAGATGGGGGACATTTAAGAAGCACACTTCACTTCCCAGCTCTCACTCTCACCTGTTCTGAATTAATATTAATCACCAAGTTAAAATTTATTAAGCATTTAACACACACACGATGTCATTTACTCTTACGGCAATCATGTAAGCCACTATTATCCTACTGGTTGAAGGGCCCAAAGCTCAGAGAAGTCTGGTACGCGCTCCAAGATCACTTACAAACTCAACGCTAACAAAGGTGCCAGGATTCAAACCTAAGCCCGACCCCAATACCGATGGCTCAGTACCGCCATGTTCTACAACATCTCACTGGCTAAAAAGTCACTGAAAATTCTAACAGTAGATAACCTGAATCTTAAGATCCTAAGACCACTTCCACAGGGAAATGAGACCTCATAGCATTTGTCTATGAGGGTTTTCCTGAAAACTTTTGACATCCACTGAGATCCGTGGCAAGAACCCAAGCCTCTCCCATCAATATTCTCCAAGCTTCATTTTAAAAGCCCCAAATCTGGGAATCTTGACCATTGCGCTCACTAGATCGCCAGCTACTCCAGGACAGGGATCATGATTTTTTTCTCTTTGTGTCCCAATGAGCATCTCATGGGCCACAGCCTGGGACTTCAGAGGCACCTGAAAAGTGCCCTCTGGATGAATGACTGGATTGCTGATGGCCCAGTGCCCTTGGCAGTCAGCGGAAGCCAACATCTGTTGCTTAAGGCCAAATCCAAAGCCTAACTAAGTATTTATTCAATTTCATTTCCAAGTTTTGCCTTTTCTGTTCCTTCTTATTCTAGCAGTACATAAGCTATTACCTCCACTTACAAAGTACCAGCAGTACCTGGAAAAGGTAGACATCTCCAAAGGAGTTGCTGAGGCAGAACACATTTTCTTTCTTGGGATGCTCTGGAACAGACTGCACTATGCTGTCTTCTGCAAACAGAGCACACCGAGGGGCACTGCTCTGATCCATGGAATTCTTCCCATAGGTCTCATAAAACAGCAGCGTGCATCCTGTGAAACAGAGAAGCAAAATAACATCCCGGTCAGACCTGGAGATGCAGGAAAGGACTGGGAGGGTAAGTGACACACTTTTTTAAAAACACCTGAGTGAGACAATCATGTGACAGAAACATGGTAAACAAGGAAAAGTGGCATCTGAAGTACACCTAGTTGTATCAGAATGAACTTGAATGAAAATGAGATGTCTTTGTAAATGTAATATCAGTAATAACAATACCAAATAATAAGTTGTTGCTTAACTCTTCTAAGTACTCCACATGCACTGGCTTATTTAATCCCCATAGAGGCCCTAAGGTGGGCAGGGTTATTTAGCCCATTCTACTGTGACCCAAAAAGTATCTAGGACTGGTCTCGATCCATTGAGAAGTTTATTTTGCCAAAGTTGTGGACATGCCCGGAGGAAGAGAACACAGAATCACAGAAATAGTCTGTGGTCTGTGCTTTTCTCCAAAGACGATGTTGAGGGCTTCAGTGTTTAAAAATTAAAAGTGGGCTGGAGAGGAACGAGGGAGAGCATGGTAATCCACCTGCTGCAAGGGAAAAGGAGCAGGCAGGGGAACTGTCAATCACGTAATCATCCAGCACTTTACATAAGATAAGGTGAACACAGAGTAGCTAGCTACCTGTGGGGATATTTAACCTTTTATCTGTAGCTCCTGCTTAGAAAGAAAAGGAAAGGCAGCTTCTTGCATGACTCAGCTTTCGGCTTGTTTTTTTTTTCCTTCTGGCATCAGGAATTGGGGTCCCCAGGTTTTATTTTCCTTTCACACTAAAAATGAGAAAACTGAGAGATCGAATTCCTTGCAGGGGTCCCACCGCTGCACTGTGGAGCAGCAGGGATGTGAACTCAGGCCCTCTGGCCCCAAAGCCCTCATCCTTAAGCACAACACCACATTATTTAGGGAATCTCAATGTAAGAGGCCACAGAAAATCCCACACTCACTCACTCCGTTGACCATCAATGGGAACAAGAAACTGAACATACCTAGGGGACTTTGCCATTTATGAGAAAGTACCCGGTTTGTTCTCCAAATGCCATGTAAAATAACTTAATTTTTAGTATTTCCTTTTATCTCACAGTAATAGAAAACATTACTTAGGCTAAGGGAGAAAAGTGAAACTAATAGAAAACATTACTTAGACTAAGGGAGAAAAGTGAAACTAAATGTGCCTGAATTTTCAAACGTTACTCTAAAAATACTGCAACATATGCTTTTAAGTACTTACTCTTCCCCTCATAAGCAAATAAAGTATTGCAGGTAGAAGTTATTAAGAGTTTGCTTCATTAATTAGAAATTGCATTATAATTATTAGACACAATTTTTAAGCAAACTAATGCTTCTAAAATGCTCACAAATGTGTCCTCTTGTATAGGTTAACTATCCCCTCAAATCTGTATCCAATAAACTTTTTTGACCACTTCTCATGTGGCAACCTCCAGCATACGAATAACAATGACATGACCACCATCTGGGTGCTTCGCAAGTGCCTTTCACATTGACAGGAAAGAAACACCAGCCTGCCTTCACTGTAAACAAATGCCTGGGGCCCACTTCACGGTACTTTATCCTACTACTGTGTTTGCATCCTCATTCATAAAAGTTCAGACGTTTTGAAAACTATTTCAGTCTTTCCAATTTCATTACTTCCTTTAAAAATAAGTCTTGATATGAACAAACAAGTTTATACAATAGAACCGATAACAGCACATAGAAGCCAAGAGAGAAAGATGCCTGCTCCAAGCTTGGACTTCGGAAGCAGTACTTTCTCCCTCCATGGTACTTTATGATCTCAAGAAACTGCGCATTTGCTCCTCCCCGCAAATAAAACTCATCCAAACTAACAGGCTGACAGAACTCAAGTATTACAAACAAGGGAAAGTAGCAAGAGGTTTACAGCCAGAGCTGCTTCTTGCAGGCCTGGCCAGTATCTTTTTCCAGCCACTGATGCAGCAGTTAAACTATAAACCAAGTCTTCTCATCGAGTAAGGCCCATCTGATGCTACTGTTGCACATGCTACAAGCCATGACCCGGGGCCCGAGGACCAGGGCAAAGGGGCAGAGCAGCTCCAGCTGCACACACGTCCAAATTCTTTCCAATGGGTTCACGTTCACTTCCCAGCTTCCCTAACACTGGAATTCCAACAGCCATGGTTTAAATCGTGGCATCTAGAGGAAATGAATGCAAACCTTGGGCCAATGCCAAAATGTCACCAAACCTAACAACCCATGGACAACAGACTACCGCTCTAACTTGGAGGCATGAAATCAAAACAGGACATTTCACATTAGAGCCAGGCCAGGAAGTAAAACAATAGGCAGAATTTTGTGGCTATCAAATTTAAAAAATCAGGAAATCAATCTTAACTCTATGACATCAAGTTCAACTTCACGGGACTCTGCATCTCTAAGGGTGCACTGGGGCCAGTGGAAACGGGCTGCACCCGTGTCAGTGAAGCCTCTGCCATTCACCCCGGTGCTGGGGGCCCCCAACCCTGCCTTTGCCGTTCACCCCGATGCTGGGGGCCACCAGCCCTGCCTTGCCGTTCACCCCGGTGCTGGGGGCCCCCAGCCCTGTCCAGTCCCTACCAAGCGCTGGTCTTGGCTTGGAGGGGTCGTTGACACTGGACGTTCTTGCTATGGTAGCAGAAAGAGAAAACAGATTGGCATAGCAATGGCAGTACAAGAATAGAGACGTAATATTAGTAGAAATCTCACCCAGGGGAAAGAGGGCAATTAGTCTTGGTTTTCCCTCAAATCCACCTTTTCTATGAGACCCTTTTGATCTCCCATCCCTGCTGCTGGCCCATCTCAGGGCAGAATCACCAGTATTCTAAAATTAGTTTATGAACTCCTCCCCTGACACTGACTATCACTCAGTCTGTTGCACATTTTGAGGGATATGTTTAATGACCTTGCCAACTCTTCAGCCCAGGAAGTCCCCAGTGAACTGCATGAAAATCCACTCACTGGAAAAGACAAATGGAAAGCAGAATTACCCTTGTTGAAAATTTATTACATCCTCCAAAGCCTTGAAAAACATGTACGTCCCTCATATACCTATACATTCCAGGTAGGCAGATAACCAGATGGTTTGTTAATAACGGCTCTCTCCAGAAAACTGTCTCCCATTTATTTACATGGATACTTTAAGGATAATTTAAAAATTAGGCTTAAGAGTGTGTGTGTGTGTGTGTGTGTGTACACATATATGTGTTTTTAACTAAGATTAAACCAAACAGTTAAGTCCAAACATTACAACTTGGATTCTAAGCCAAGAAATTAGAACTCAACATACTGAATTCCCAGAGGAAAGAGGTGTAGAAAGCCACATGGAAAAGGTTACGCTGGGGAAAAAAACATCTTTATCACAAGTCTTGCCTTGGCTGCAAAGGAAAGGAAGAAATGTGTGCTTGATAACATTTATACTACAAAGCACCCTTTATCCATGGATCTTGAAGTGTTTTACAAGCAAACACCAGGAAAGCAGGACCTAGCCAAGACTACAAATCTAGCAATGCTCAGTGACAACTCAGGCCCATCACTACCCCTGAAGTTGGTAGCCAGAAGTTCCTGGTCTACCTTTTGGGATAAAATACAGGAAGCTGCCAATCAGCTCTTCCAGCCCTTAAGTGATATCTGCCTGAGTTTCCCTCAAGAAGCCTGCGACAATTTGGCTCTGGACAAATGTGGTCAGTAGCACAGAAATCAAAAAGGGAGCATCTTTCCACGTGCCCATGGCTGTCACTGTTGTTTTTTATATTAATTTAGAATCAGCCTGTCTCCCATCTATTAGTCCCATCCTAACCTCTGCAGACCCAGAATAAATTCAATGTCTCTTCTACACACTGCTGTTCACTCTCACCCAGTTCTTATTTTCTCCATGCTAAATATCCCTAGATCTTTATGCCCTCCTCCATCTAGCACGGCTCTAAATCTCCTTGTCATCACCTATGGCCCAGCCTCTCAAAGTGGTATATTCTCTCTCTCTCTCTCTCTCTCTCTCTCTCTCTCTCTCTCTCTCACACACACACACACACATACACACACAGTCACCCTGCCTCCCAGTCTAACCCCCACCACTAGGGTGATGTATACTGGGGGTTTTCAAATCCATAGACAGGCAGGGAAGAAATTCTCACAGAATTAATTTTAAGAAACAAATTTCACACTTAAAAAGTAGATACATGACAAATGATGGGGTAACGTGCATCCATTCTAAGTATTCACATCATGTGACTAGGAGGCAGCTTCAGACTATGATTCACAAACAGTCCCAGATGTTTACCCCTTAAGGGAACATGTTCACTCTCTCCCCATTTAGGGATCCTCCAGGACAACCTTTCAAGGATCAATTTCTCATTTCCTAACAAATCTCCTGCAATATTGTGCCCACAAGGAGGGAAACAACCAGCTCTGACCAGGGCAAAGAAAGGAGACACTGTCATCTCCTTTGCAAGAGATATAGCATTTCTAAGGAGGTAGCTGATGATCACATGACATCTCTAATGAGGTAGCTAAAGATCACATTTGCTCTTTGAAATCACATTTACCTTTTCAGCCACATCAACTTGGAAACACATGGCCTGCAAATTAAATCCCGACATCTTTTTCACTCATAATACTTGTTTTGGTTTGTTTGTTTGTTTGTTTGTTTTTGAGATGGAGTTTCACTCATCGCCCAGGCTGGAGTGCAGTGGCATGATCTCAGCTCTCTGCAACCTCCGCCTCCCAGGTTCAAGCGATTCTGCAGCCTCAGCCTCCTGAGTAGCTGGGATTACAGGAACCTGCCATCATGCCAGGCTAATTATTGTATTTTTAGTAGAGATGGGGTTTCACCATGTTGGCCAGGCTGGTCTCAAACTCCTAACCTCAGGAGATCCACCCGCCTCGGCCTCCCAAAGTGCTGGGATTACAGGTGTGAGCCACCACACCTGGCCTCACTCATAATAGTTTGCAGCCACATTTCCCTATCCTGTCCTTGGGTAGCTATCTGACTTTTAAACCTTAAAGCAGAACTTTCTTATCTCTTTAAATGTTAATCCTGCCAGATTCAACCCATTATTCTACCTTTCCAAATTGTTTCTGTCATTCAATACAGAAATCTGCCTCGCCAGTATGGAAAAACTGGGGACGTTCTTTACCTTCCTCAGCCAGCCACAATGTCTACAAGCATCCAAATCTAGGGATGGAAAAGAGGACTGCAGCGTGTGAGGAATGCTGGGCCCCTGGGCTTTGTACACCCGCCGGCCTGCTAGGAAAAGGTATCACTTGGATATGAAATGCCTTTGCAAGTGCTCCTTTACCAGAGGTGCCAGAGGGGCTTGTGGTAACGAAGGCATGATGCCTGCCCTCCACGGTTGGGGAAGCAGGGCTCCAACTGTTCGATAAGGGGCAAAGAAAAGCTAGAAAGGGGTAATTGAGAGGGCACTGGACATTGCACACGTAGTATTTGCAGATGTTTCTGCTCTCTCCTGTGACAGGGAAGGGCATCACTTGACGATGAGGTTTGGCTTTTGAACAACACACTCAGCTCCTCTGACAAAGAGTCCCAGGGGGCTGTGCAGAATGCCAGAGGCTGCGAGGCCGCTCTGGGTGCATCTGCATAAATCAACGCTGTACAGATTTGGAGCTTCTCTCTTCCTCAAGGCAATTATAGTTTTTAAATGGCAATGCTTATAAAAAACTTTTCTCATGTCAACAAAACAAATTCTCACTTCTATTGCCTTTATGTTTAAAAAAAAAAGACAGCTGGTCCATCAATGATAGACTGGATTAAGAAAATGTGGCACATATACACCACAGAATACTATGCAGCCATAAAAAAGGATGAGTTCCTGTCCTTTGCAGGGACATGGATGAAGCTGGAAACCATCATTCTCAGCAAACTATCACAAGGACAGAAAACCAAACACCGCATGTTCTCACTCATAGGTGGGAATTGAACAATGAGAACACATGGACACAGGGCAGGGAACATCACAAACTGGGGCCTGTTGAGGGATGGGGGAATGGGGGAGGGATAGCATTAGGAGATATACCTAATGTAAATGACGAGTTGATGGGTGCAGCAAACCAACATGGCACACATATACCTATGTAACAAACCTGCATGCACATTGTGCACATGTACCCTAGAACTTAAAGTATATTAAAAAAAAAAAAAGACGGCTGCACTTGTTAGTGATGACAACAAACAGACTTTGTTCATAAAGCTGGAATGACAAATCAATAATCCAGATGATAATCTTAGTTGCACAAGCTGGAAAGAAAACCTCTTTGGAGTTCTGAACATGTACGGAATGTGAAATTCAGAAGCTGCCTTCCAAACAACTAAACTACCTTTGGTTACTGACTTTTTTTTCTCCAAATCCAGCGAAAATGGTACAGGCATACCTATAAATAAGCTAAATACCTATGAAATAAGCAATAAGTATTAAATCCAACCATTATAATAGGCCGGGTGCAGTGGCTCATGCCTATAATCCCAGCACTTTGGGAGGCCAAGGTGGACAACCTGCTTGAGGTCAGGAGTTATGAGAGCAGCCTGGTCAACATGAAGAATCCCCATCTCTACTAAAAATTAGACAAAACTTAGCCAGGTGTGGTGGCCCACGCCCATAATTCCAGCTACTCAGGAGGCTGAGGCACGAGAATTGCTTGAGCCTGGGAGGCAGAGGTTGCAGTGAGCTGAGATCCTGCCATTGCACTCCAGCCTGGGCAACAAAGCAAGACTCTGTCTCAAAAAAAATAAAAACAAGTAAAAAATCCACTAATTATTTATTGAACTGCATAATACATGTGAATAGTAGGTAAAGCCTATTTCACGGGTGTGAGAAAGTATCTGCATGAAGGCAGCCCATGGATCCTGTGTCAAACCCCTCATGTGAACTCAAATCAATGCTAGTCTCTTGGCACTTCCTGGCAAAGAGCACGGCTGGCGGAAACAATCCCCAGTGGCCTCAGCAGGTGACACTGCACTCACCTTTCAGCGTTACCCAGTACTGTTTCCATTTCCTTCGTGCCACCAGCTCAAGCTTCCTTTCCTTCTGCACAGTGACCAGGGGCTTGAAGAAGAGCCACCCGGCCTTCCGGACCACCCCCTGTTCCTTCTCAAAGAGCAGATCCAGCTGTTCCAGAGAGCTGAGTGACTCGCTGCTGGACTCGGCGGTTTCTGTAGATGTTTCTATGTTCTCAGTGTTGGTCCTGCTCATTTCCAACTCTCGCATGAAATTCTCATAAATGTTCTGCCGGAGGGGATCGCTGCCAATCGCATGTGTGGATTCACTTCTCTGAGACAGGATCTGAGTAGAGCCCCCTGACCACAGAAAAGCAGATGCCTGGGAGGATCCCTGCACATCTGTATTCAGTCCATCAGAGCGACTGTCAAAGTAGTCACTGCCCTCCTTGGACCTCGGCTCCTGTGAGAAACACACATGATCACCCATCAGAGCTTACGGCTATCCAAAGCATCCCTTCTTGCACACAGCATAAGTGTAATACCAGTGGCTGCTGATAATGTAATGCAAAGCAAGATTCTTGTAACAAAAATACATCTTTAACCATCAAGTCTTCATACCAGAAAGAATTTTAAAAATAGTGTTGCCCAAGTCAATTTATATCCAGTAGAATTAGCACTTAAAGAGGTAAATAAAATACAAATGGCTCTCCTAAATCTAACCTATGCTTAGCATCGAGAAATTAACTAGTATGTTTACAACACACTAGTGAAGATTACTAGAATGATATTTCTTTCTTCATTGCTAACCATGAATCAGTATCTTCCAGGAAAGAATTCATATTCTTGCAATTTATTTTTTCCCTGGATCATTTGAAAGGTAAATTAGAAAATTACTATACCAGGGTAGGGTGGGGAAGACAGGGACTCAGTATTGTTATGCAAAACCCAAAAACTTCTCTTCCTCTCCCTATAGTCCCCAGCTTCTGGCCAAGTGCCCAGGTCTAGACTTCTAGACTTTGAGATCTCTAGTATCTTATTTTCCCAGTTCATATAGTAAAAATAATAGATGGCGAGGTGGCTCATGCTTGTAATTCTAGCACTTTGGGAGGCCGAGGCAGGTGGATCACCTGAGGCCAGGAGTTCAAAACCAGCCTGGCCAACATGGTGAAACCCGTCTCTACTAAAAATACAAAAATTAGCCAGGCCTGGCGGTGAGCACCTGTAATCCCAGCTACTCAGGGGGCTGAGGCAGGAGAATCACCTGAACCTGGAAGGCAGAGGTTGCTGTGAACCAAGATCAGGCCATTGCACTCTAGCCTGGGCAACAAGAGCGAAACTCCATCTCAAAAATAATAACAATAATAATACACTTAGGATTCCTTATCTATGAAGGGTACTGGCTAGTAACTATAGCTTTTTTGTTTTTCTTTTTTTTTTTTTTTGAGATGGAGTTTCGCTCTCATTGCCCAGGCTGGAGTGCAATGGCGCAATCTTGGCTCACTGCAACCTCTGCCTCCTGGGTTCAAGTGACTCTCCTGCCTCGGCCTCCCAAGTATCTGGGATTACAGGCATGCGCCACCACACCTGGCTAATTTTGTATTTTTAGTAGAGACACGGTTTCTTCATGTTGGTCAGGCTGGTCTCAAACTCCCAACCTCAGGTGATCCGCCCACCTCAGCCTCCCAAAGCGCTGGGATTACAGGCATGAGCCACCGCGCCCGGCCAGTTTTTTTCATAATTAATATTTCTTACTTAGAGAATTACTTTCATGAAAAAAATATACCCATTTATTCATTCACATCCTTTCATTTGAGTACCTATTTTATTCTAGGTACTGGAGATATCAAAGACATGATTCTTAACTGCAGTATTTACTCCAACACAAAAATCAAACACAGGTAGCTCTAAATACAATGCATACTTATATAATAATGTTGCTCCCTGTGAGGACCAGGTGCATTGAACATCAAGCTGGCCATGCACAGAGCTGAAAACATAAAGACATTTCTCTAATATCTGGATTAGAAGTCTAGTCACTGAAGAAAAATAATTTGCATACAGGCTTTTCACTGGTAAATGGCAGTAATTAAAATTTTCAGCATAAAGTGAGCTTAACTTCTGACTCAAAAGGCACTGACATTCAACATTTATGGCTTAAATGAAGATAACTC
This sequence comes from Homo sapiens, assembly GCF_000001405.40. Classification (NCBI taxonomy): domain Eukaryota; kingdom Metazoa; phylum Chordata; class Mammalia; order Primates; family Hominidae; genus Homo; species Homo sapiens. The sequence continues at coordinate 155,135,465 of NC_000006.12, read as the reverse complement.
TGCAGAGACGCCAAGCACACTCAAGACTACTCAGCTGCTAGTGGGCTTTTGATTATATTTTCTTATGCATTAAAATAAAAATGATGGAAAACTGGGTCAAGGACCATTGACTAAAGGCCTTATTTTGAATATTACATTGTATAGAGAGGTTTCCTTTTCAGAAATTTCATCCAAAAATCAAGTTGCAATTACTTGCTGTTTTGTAAGAGAATAATCACACAACTGGAGAGTACTTCCAAATACCCAGGAGCCATGAACAACTGCGCCCCAAGCAGATATTACAAATAGAAATATGATTTGCCACTGTTTACACTGCATCTCCAGTCATATTTATTTATACACTGATGCTTATGCATAACAGAGCAAATAAACCAGCTGTTGTGAGTCACTTGGACAGGAAACTTTAGAAATACTTAGAGTTTTTTTTTTAATTGTCAATTTGTTGCTTTTCAAAAACTCCTGGCTGGGCTCGGTGGCTCACGCCTGTAATCCCAGCACTTTGGGAGGCTGAGGTGGGCAGATCATGAGGTCAGGAGATCGAGACCATCCTGGCTAACACGGTGAAACCCCGTCTCTACAAAAAATACGAAAAATTAGCCAGGTGCGGCGGCACATGCCTGTAGTCCCAGCTACTTGGGATGCTGAGGCAGGAGAATCGCTTGAACCCGGGAGGCGGAGGTTGCAGTGAGTAGAGATCACGCCACTGCACTCCAGCCTCGGCGACAGAGCGAGACTCTGTCTCAAAAGAAAAACAAAACAAAAAAACAAAAAACTCCTAAAAGGTGAAGAAACACTTCTCATCTAGCTAGTATTAACATTATCTCAGTTATAAATATGTCCCTCTGACTCATCGCCCAAAAACACTGGAATTACCTCTGATACCCTGCAAGGGCCATGACGGAATATGCTTCAAAACAAGCCCAATTCTGCCACAGAAAGGCACAGAAGTCCCAAAGTTAAGTGTGACCTACACACACTCTTGACACTGCTTCTCAACTTACAGTGCCAACTTTTAAATGTTTAACCATAGCAAAGCAAGGAGTTTTCTTTTTCAGAAATGGGGGGGGGTGGGGGGATGCATTTTAGCATTTATAACTTATTCTTATACATAGGTATGAACTCTCCCAGTCTCTAATAAATTTCCAAATCTTTTTATCTAGAATCCTAATAGCCAGTCACTAATTTTCAGGCTAATAAAAAAGAGCCTTTAAAAAATATAGAATGTCTTTAAATAGGTTCAGCTAGAATTCTTAATCATCTGTTATGCGGATGAAACTAAGGTGCCTGCTATATATATATATATACACACACACACAAATCATACGATTTCCATTTCCATACAAGTGACTTCACTTCCATCAAATCGAATAATCAGAAACAAGGGCTAATGTAACTTGATGACTAGGGCAGTACAGCAGAGTGGAGATGAGTAAAGACTCAAGAGTAAAAACTCAAGCCAGGTGGCTCACGCCTGTTATCCCAGCACTTTGGGAGGCCGAGGAGGGTGGATCACCTGAGGTCGGGAGTTCGAGACCAGCCTGACCAACATGGAGAAACCCCGTCTCTACTAAAAACACAAAATCAGCTGGGGGTGGTGGCACACGCCTGTAATCCGGATCAGCTACTCAGGACGCTGAGGCAGGAGAATCGCTTGAGTGAGCCGACATGGCGCCACTGCACTACAGCCTGGGCAAAAAGAGCAAGACTCCATCTCAAAAAAAAAAAAGAGTAAAAACTCAAGAGATGTCACTCTACAGAAAGACATGCACTGCAAGATTCCACTTATACGTGGAATCTGAAATAGTCCAACTCATTGAAGCAGAGAGTACAATGGTGGTTGCCAGGGGCAGGAGAGGGCAATGGGAAGATGCTGCTCAAAGGGTACAAAGCTTCAGTTTTGCAGGAGGAATAAGTTCTGGAGCTCTAAGGTAAATTATGGTGACTACAGTTAATAACACTATATTCTATGCCTGAAATTTGCTAAGAAGGTACTTTTTTTAACAGAGAGACTCCATCTCAAAAAATAAATAAATAAAATAAAATAAATAATAAAATTCTAATTCCTTGATTCTAACCAGTTTTTTGTTGTTGTTGCTGTTTTGTTGTTGTTGTTGTTGTTGAGATGGAGTCTCACTCTGTTGCCCAGGCTGGAGTGCGCTGGCGTGATCTCAGCTCACTGCAACCTCCACCTCCCAGGTTCAAGCGATTCTCCTGCCTCTGCCTCCCAAGTAGTGGGACTAACAGGCACATGCCAGCATGCCCAGCTAATTTTCATTAGAGATGGGATTTCACCAAGTTGGCCAGGTTGGTCTCAAACTCCTGACCTCCAGTGATCCGCCTGCCTCAGCCTCCCAAAGTGCTGGGATGACAGGCGTGAGCCACCACACCCGGCCCTAACCGGTTTGTTTTTAACTCTACAGGCACACAATTCAGAGTTAAGTTTTTGGACAATGCAGAATTGAAGGAGACCCAGTTCCCGTGGGTAGGAGACGCAGGGAGGGTAACTTGACAGGAGAGGCAAGGAGGGATACTTACCCGTGATAGAATGATTCATACACAGCAGCCACTGGTCTACATCTGAACCAAGTGGGAACTGTCACTGAATGCAGCTCACTAGAGCCGCGTGTAAGCCAGGCCACATATACAGATGAGCAACAAACTCAGTGCACATAAGAGATGCAGAATCATTGGCTCGATGCCACCACCAATTAGGGGACACAGTGGATGACAGCTGAACACAGGTGGGCACCATAACACTTGAATCAAAAAGGCGTGGACGTTGTCCACCTGGGACTTCAGCCCTCAAGTAAGCAGAAGCTGCGTCTCCCATTATGCTCAGTGGGGATCAGTTGTTTAGGAAATGGGAGCTGAGAGAAAAAAGTCAAGGAAATCTCTACTATTTTGTGGTTTAGTCTGAAAAAGTGATGATCCAGGAGTAAAATCACTATACAAATTACTACAATATATTCAGGGATATGAAGAGGCCCTGAAAACAGGATGCTGATCATCTGTTCTTCACCTCTGTGTGAAGGAAGAGGAGGGAGAACCGAAGCCCAGCACAGGAGGGGGTGGTGGAGGCAGACACGCTATATACATCAGAAGGAAGTAACGAAAGTCAAACTTCATAAATCTGAAGCAATCTACTCAAAAAAGTTATATTATTTTCCACCCCTAAATCTCTATATAATTTTATAATTTTATGTCTATCTAGGATGCAATTCTGCTAGAGACTAACTGCCCACACAAATTCCCTTCAACTCCATGACTTATACAGAGTAATTTAAAAAGAAGCTTCTCCCCTATATAAATAATCAAAAATAAAAACAAATAACAAAACAACAACAAACTGAAAATCTAGCAATTGCCACTAATTACCTAAAAAGGCAAACTATCACTTTTCTTCCTGGTGGATAAGCCACTTTGCTCCCCCAGTAAAACTTTACATGCCATGATACAGAAGTATATTCATCATTCTTATTTTATCAGTTTTATCAGTATATATATTTTTCTATTACATGCACTTAGGTACAAGATATTTTCAGGATGCCATTAGCTATCTCCATGAGGAGGTTAAGATTACACATATAGGCCGGATGTGGTGGCTCACGCTTGTAATCCCAGCATGTTGGGAGGCCGAGGCAGGTGGATCACCTGAGGTCAGGAGTTCCAGACCAGCCTGGCCAACATGGTGAAACCCCGTCTCTACTAAAATACACAAATTAGCCAGGCATGGTGGTGCACGCCTGTAATGCCAGCTACTCAGGAGGCTGAGGCAGCAGAATCGCTTGGACACGGGAGGCAGAGGTTGCAGTGAGCCAAGATCGCACCACTGTACTCCAGCCTGTACAACGGAGCGATACTCTGTCTCAAAAAAAAGAAAAAAAAAAAAGATTACACATGTAGATATATCATCAACTTTTTTTTTTGATGTACCAACTTAAGCATAGAAATTTTAATTTCATCAGAGTAATATCAAGTTCAACAAGCCTATTCAACCAAAAATAATGACAATCTCAACTGTTTTATTTGGACTGTAAGAATGAGGTCTAGTAAAATTCTCAGATAACCAATTCTTTCAGGAATTCTCTCCAACTCTGTACTTACTTTTTTTTTTTTTTTAAAGACAGAGTCTCTCTCTGTTGCCCAGGTGTGATCTCAGCTCACTGCAACCTCTGCCTCCCAGGTTCAAGCGATTCTCCTGCCTCAGCCTCCTGAGTAGCTCGGATTACAGGCACCCGCCACCACGCCAGGCTAATTTTTGTATTTTGGGTACAGACAGGGTTTCACCATGTTGGCCAGGCTGGTCTCAAACTCCTGGCCTCAAGTGATCTGCCCACTTTGGCATCCCCAAGTGCTGGGATGACAGGCATGAGCTGCCACACCGGCTATGGCCAAGTCTTAAGATTAGGCCTGTGGAGTGCATGGAAGAGTGCAGGGACATGCACAGAACCAGAATGCTATTGACTGAACATTTGTTTCCCCCCTCCCCAAAATCCATGTTGAGGCCTTAACTACCAGTGGATGATATTTAACTGACATCTTTGAGAGGTAATTGGTTTAGAGGGGGTCATGAGGGTAGAGTCCCCATGATGGGATTAGGGTCCTTATAAGAAGAGGAAAAGAGCCTAGACCTCCTGCTCTCTCTGCCGCATGAGGACACAGTGAGAAGGCGGCTGTCTGCAGCCAGGAAGAGAGCCCTCCCCAGAATCGGACCACACTGGCACTCTGACCTCTGACTTCCAGCCTCCAGAATTATGAGAAATAGATGTCTGTTGATTAAACCAAGTCTGTGGTATTTTGTTTGCTGCCCAAGCTGACTAAGACATGGGAAGATTAAAGTTGTGGGCTAAAAGTGAAAATATCTGAAGCAAAAGAGAGAACAAACCCACACTTGAAAATGAGATGAGCCAGGCTTTCCACTGAACTCTTCACTTTTGCCAGATCACTTAAGCACCCCGACAACACTCTATGGTGGCTTCTACTAACCTTCCCCTTCTCCAGGTGGGGAAACTGTGGGGACCCTTCCCTCTGCTCTAAGGTATGCTCACCTGGAGTTTCCTTTTCTTCCTTGAGAGGCTTCCCGTCCAGTCACTGATCCGTCGCATCCTGGCTTTGAGGGAGTCCTTCTTCGCAGTATCCTCAACAAAGGCTTTGGGCTTCCGACAGGGGAGAGTGAAGGAACTGTACTGGATGGGGTCCCCGTGTGCCACTCTGGAGGGCACATCAATGTCGGAAGCAAAAGAGACACGGTTGCTCAGGCTGGCATGCGTGCCCATGTATTCATCAGAAAGGCGGATACCTGAGGGGGAGAGGCTCCCCAGGTTGGCATCTTTGTACAGTTCCCGGAGGGAGGAGAGGGAAGAGCTTTGGTTGAAAGGCTTTTTGGCATCGCCAGGTGGGAAGCTGGCATGGAGACTGGGGTCAGGCATGCCGGGGGCCAGGAAGGAGCCCTCAGCCTCGCTCAGCTCTCCAGCATTGCCCCAAGGGGAGTCGTACCAGGATGACTCAGAACTCAGGGAGCTGCCTTTGCTGGACCGCAGGCGAGAGTCCGTGGGAGAGGGGCGATGGCTGGGCAGGGAATCGGCGCTGGACCCCCTCCTGGCTTCAGGCACAGGGGAGGTTTCCGATGCTAAGGTAGGTGAGTACCTCAGCAGCTGCACCGGCTCACTGCAGTCCTCTGCAGGCACTTTGCTGGGGTTGCCACCATTGTGGAACTCGACCCTTAAACACCCATCCAGCTTCCCCAGCGTTTTGATGAGCACTCGGGGGCTCTTGCGGTCTTCGCCCGGTGGGGTGGAGGCAATGCTCTCATTCCTCCCGTAGCAGTTGAGAAGGTGTCCGTTGCAGTCTCTGGAGGTGATGTGGTTATCTGCCAGCTCGTGGCCAACAGAGTGGAAGCCATTCTCAGTTGAGAAAGCAGCACTGATGCCCTGGAAATCCTTCCCTGGGGCATTTGTCCTGTGCGTGGAGTAGGCAACACCTCTGGAGACCTTGCATGTGGGGCCACCGAGTCTCGATGCGTAAGGCTGGTTACTCTTAAAGTGAGAAAGGCAGCTTCGGGCCAGGGACCTGGACTTGTAACCTGCTCCGTTGCTTCCGTGACCCCATCCATGCAATGACTTTTCCTCTTTTGCATGAATGCCACGTATTTTCAGGGAGCAAGGAATTTGCTTAGCACCAGTAATAGTATTGCTATGATTTTTAGATCCTTGAAGGGTGTACTGACTGTCGGAGTTGCCCATTTTAACCTAAATTAAGAACAGTTGCATCAGTAAGACCGTGGCCTAAATTACATTCCATTATGACAGAACTTTCTAAAAAGAATGCCCTGCATATTACACAGCAACTTCAGTGCCTGGAAGGACTCAGAGGAGTAGGGACAAGAGTCAGTCAGTAGAACAGGCTCTCCTTATTTTGCAAGGCTGCTCATTAGCTAGACAGACAACACTGCACACCTGTCTGCTAATTATTTTAAAGACATTATTCATTATACAATATTAATTTAGAAGGCGAACAGGCATAAAAATCAGCTTATGAGAAAGATCTGCTTCAGGCTTGGTGTTGAGAGACTTTGAATGATTTTTTTTTGCTTTTTTTTTGAGACAGAGTCTCACTGTTATCATCCAGGCTGGAGTGCAGTGCCGCAGTCACAGCTCACTGCAGCCTCGACTTCCTAGGCTCAAGTGATCCTCCTGCCTTAGCTTCCCAAGTAGCTGGGACTATAGGCACGTGCTACCACTCTCAAGCTCGGGGTTTTTTTTTTTTTTTAAAGATATGGGGTCTCACTCTGTTGCTCCAGGCTGGTCTTGAACTCCTGGGCTCAAGAGATCCTCTTGCCTCGGCCTCCCAAAGTGCTAGCATCACAGGTGTGAGCCACCACACCTGACCAAACTAATGATTCTTGAAGAGAAAAATTAGGGAAAGTATCTTTATTCTGTCAGTCTAAATACACAGATCTCAGTGATCAGAGAGATACATTTTCATTATACATAAACTACTGGTAGAGCTAAAATCTCTCCACAGTATTTTGAGAGACTTTTGCTCAAAAACTATCACATTTTTATAACATGACACCAGGTACCAGGCTCTGTTGGGGCTCTAGGAATACCACAAAAGAAAAAGGCCTGGAAGTCCTCAAAAATGAGGCTGAGATGAAAAATGGGGGAAAAAATAAGAGCTCTCATTTGGGAAAGAAAAACATTTTAATAAAACTAATCTCTAGAGCTTTTGTAAAGACTTCAGGTATCTTCACTTTAGAATATGATGAGAGAAGTAAGTATGAAGCTGACTTAGAATATGGGCATCAGAAAAACTTAATATTAGACTCTTACTTCCTTGTAAAAACCCCAGTTTGCTCAAGGAGTCTATTAGTTAAGCCAAACTCAAAGTGAAAAGGGGGAGAAGGAGGGAGGGAGGAAGGGAGGAAAGAAGAAACCATCTCTTTTGATTCTGAAATAATTTTTTTGAGGTGGGATCTTGCTATGTTGCCCAGGCTGGTTTCAAACCCCTGGGCTCAAGGGATTCTCCTGCCTCAGCCTCCCAAGTAGCTGGAACTACAGGCACATGCCACCATGCCCAGCTAGTTTCTCACTCAAACCAGTATATCACTATTTTAGGTCAGTTGGAGGTGATGCTCTTCTGGTGAGATCTCCAGATATATTTAGTAGGCTTTTTATTTTTAATTCTTTTATATCTAAGAATGTGTAGCCACAAAACAGAAGTTAAATGGATTGACTTTTCTTTGGTGGTAATTATCAAATATTTTAAAACCAAAATCGCTAGCCCAAATAATTAAACCTTTACTTATTACCTTAATCACAGTCATGCAACTTGACGTGACCCCCAGGCACAAGGGTTGGGTTTACCTGACGTCTAGTTTCTGCTGTGAGGGAGGTTAGTGGTCAGTAGGCTTTACATGGTCTTGGGAGCAACACAGCACATTTAACAAGCACGCAAAGTGAGTCCATGAAGTGAGCCTGAAAAACAGAAACGCAAGAAAACTCTGTGAAGCGTTTTACTCCAAGCTCCCACAAAGTCAAAAGGAAGCCTTAACGCAAATTATATGAAGAAACAACTGGTGTCCAGGGTCACTGTCAAGGTAATAAATGAAACGTCTGTGAACCGTGTGATTCATCAGGGTCATTTGAAGCCAGAACTGCCCACCCAGTCTTGCAAAGGCCACCAACTCAACACCCAGTCTGCAGTCAAATGCATGCCTTTGTTTCAGGGGAGACCGCTCCAGTGAGTCATGCGTGGCTCATCTGTCACCATGACCAGGAAAACAACTCTCAGTCTCACAGGGCTGCAGGAGCGTCAGGCTGTGTGACGAGAGGTGGCCCTTGTTCTCTATTTGACCAAGCAGCAAAAACAAAGCCCAAAATATAACATCACAGTGAATAGTCCTTGGTTAAAATAATTTAGCTTGTAGAGGTTGACCTCATAAATGAGATTAAAAGCTTTCTCAAGCACATGTTAGCAGGGGCAAGAGGTCCCCCTCTGAGGGATAAGGCAGGGCTTCTGAAAGGGAGGAGGACTGGCTGAGATGGGGAGGCTCCCCTCTGGCCGTGCTCACTGCTGGACACGAAGCCACAGACACGGGAAGCAGAGGGGTGAGGCCTTAATAGTGACTTTTTGTTCCTTTAAAAAAAAAAAAAAAAGTTTATTTGTAATTGTGGTCAAACATGGATAACATAACATTTTCCATCTTACCATTTATTTATTTATTTATTTATTTGAGACAGAGTTTTGTTCTTCTTGCCCAGGCGGGAGTGCAGTGGCACAATCTCGGCTCACTGCAACCTCCGCCTCCTGGGTTCAAGCGATTCTCCTACCTCAGCCTCCTGAGTAACTGGGATTACAGGCACGCACCACCACGCCCAGCTAATTTTGTATTTTTAGTAGAGACAGGGTTTCTCCATGTTGGTCAGACTGTTCTCAAACTCCCGACCTCAGGTGATCTGCTCACCTCAGCCTCCCAAAGCGCGGGGATTACAGGCGTGAGCCACCGCGCCTGGCCCATCTTACCCATTTTTAAATGTACAGGGCAGCAGTAAGTACACTGTTGTACAACCGTCACCGACATCCATCTTCAGAACTCTTTCCATCTTGCAGAACAGAAACTCTGCACCCATTAAACAGCAATTCCCCGGTCCCACAGCCCCTGGCAACTGTCATTCTACTTTCTGCCTCTATGAATTTGAGGACTCTAGATACCGCATATAAGTGAAAGCATTTGTCTTTTTGCAACTGGCTTATTTCACTTAGTATAATGCCCTCAAGTTTCATCCACGTGGTAGCAGATGTCAGAATTTCCTTCCTTGTTAAGGCTGAATAGCATTCTATTACATGTGCATGCCACATTTTGTTTATTCATTCATCCCATGGAGAGACACTTGGGTTGCTTCCACCTCTTGGCTATTATGAATAATGCTGCTATGACCATGGGTGTTTAACTAGCTCTTCCAGACCCTGCTTTCAATTCTTTATGATATATACCCAGAAGTGGAAATGCAATAGCATTAGGTTATTCTATTTTTATTTTATTTTTAGAAAATAAACTATTTATTGTCATAAGCACACCACTTAGGTTATTCTATTTGTAATTCTTTTTTTTTTCTCTCTTTTTTTGGAGACAGAGTCTTGCTCTGTCGTCCAGGCTGGAGTGCAGTGGCACAATCTCGGCTCACTGCAACCTCCGCCTCCCAGGTCCAAGTGACTCCCCTGCCTCAGCCTCTCAAGTAGCTGTGATTATAGGCGCGCACCATTGCACCAGATAATTTTTCTGATTTTAGTAGAGACAGGGCTTCACCGTGTTGGCCAGGCTGGTCTCGAACTTCCGGCCTTAAGTGATCCACCCACCTCAGCCTCCCAAAGTGCTGGGATAACAGGCGTGAGCCACCGCGCCCAGCCCTATTTTTAATTCTTTACAGAACCGCCATACTGTTTTCCGCAACAGCTGCACCATTTTACATGCTCACCAACAGTGCAGCAGAGTTCCAATTCCTCCACATCCTCACCCATGCTTGTTATTTTCTGTTTTTCGACAGCAGTTATCCTAATGGACATAAGCAGTATCTCATTATGGGTTTCATTTGCATTTCTCTAATGATAAGTGATATTGAGCCATCTTTTTCATGTGCTTATTGGCTACTGTATATCTTCTTAGGAGGGTTCAATGGCACCTTTTATTTTTTTTGAGACAGAGTCTCACTCTGTTACCCAGGCTGGAGTGCAGCGGTACAATCTCGACTCACTGCAACCTGTGCCTCCCGGGTTCAAGTGATTCCCCTGCCTCAGCTTCCTGAGCATCTGGGATTACAAGTGCCCGCCACCACACCCAGCTAATTTTTGTATTTTTAGTAGAGACGGGGTTTCACCATGTTAGCCAGGCTGGTCTCGAACTCTCAGGTGATCCACCTGCCTCGGCCTCCCAAAGTGCTGGGATTACAAGCATGAGGCACCACACCCGGCCTCAGTGGTGACTGTTACAGTTAGTGGGAGGAGAAGCAAGACACTGGAGCTAGGTTCCTCTAACAAAGACAAAGACAAATCTCCTGCCTGAGTCTATCCACGCAGATACATTTTAAATTAAAAAAAAAAAAAAAAGTCAAATAGATTTTCCACTTGGCCATTGGCAGGAAATCCAATAGCTCAGCCTCTAATTAATGAGGACTGAGAAGGTGGCTGCTATACTGCCGGCACCCTACCTTTTAGTAGGCAGCTGTGTCACACGTCTAAAAAGGGGATAGCAACTGCTAGACTTGCCACTAGAACCTGGCCCCATCTCACACATGGGGCTGGACCACAAGAACCCCACCTTTTAAAAGTCCAAAACCAGCTGGGTGTGGTGGCTCATGCCTGTAATCCCAGCACTTTGGGAGGCCAAGGCAGGGCAGATCACCTGAGGTCGGGAGTTCGAGACCAGCCTGATCAACATGGAGAAACCCCGTCTCTACTAAAACTATAAAATTAGCCAGGCATGGTGGTGCATGCCTGTAATCCCAGCTACTCAGGAGGCTGAGGCAAGAGAATCACTTAAACGCCAGAGGCAGAGGTTGCGGTGAGCCGAGATTGTGCCGTTGCACTCCAGCCTGGGCAACAAGAGCGAAACTCAGTCTCAAAAGAGAAAAAAAAAGTTCAAAACCTGGCTGGGCATGGTGGCTCAAGCCTGTAATCCCAGCACTTTGGGAATCCGAGGCAGATGGAGCACTTAAGCCCAGGAGGTCAAGACCAGCCTGGCCAAAATGGTGAAACTCCATCTCTACTAAAACTACAAAAAAATTAGCTGAGTGTGAGGGCACACACCTGTAATCCCAGCTACTTGGGAGGCTGAGGTGGGAGAATTGCTTGAATCGGGAGGCAGAGGTTGCAGTGAGCTGAGATCAAGCCACTGGACTCCAGCCTGGGTGACAGACGCAGCAAGACTGTCAACTCTGTCTCAAAAATGATGATGATAATAATAAATAAACAAATAAATAAAGTTCAAAGCCTGAGCTGTTGAACCTTAGCTACCCTTTCATTTTTTAACTGAGGGAACTACAAATGGCCAGAGAAGCTCCTGGCTGCTGCCACTCAGACTGTCACAGTGAGTGGATCAGAGTGAGCCTTCATTTGTTTCCTTTTGTAAAGACCAAGGTCCAGCGAAGACACTGGAGGCGAAAGGCTCCCGGCCGCTCACTCCTCAACCACCTCTCTTTGTCAGCCCTCCCGAGCTGCAGCACACACAGCACAGGCCCTGAGCTCGCCAAAACCAGCGGACAAAACTGCGATTGAGTGGCCGACTGTGTCAGCCACTCACAGACACACAAAGAGGCCAGAATTCAAAGCCGCAGAATCACTCCCAGGTGGAAGTTTCTGCCCCAGCGGCAGGTTAGAACCTAAGCTCATCTTACTACTTTTGCAATTAAATAGCTTAATTTTTTTATTTCATGGGATATTTCTAAAAACACAGGAGACCCCCATCCTCTACTGGATGCTGTGCACTCAAGGCCTAGCACCTGGAGGCTCATATAAGCACTCAATAGACACCTGTGGGACCAAATGACAGCAATTCATGTGCTACACAGTTGATGCGGACCCCAGACCAAGGGCGGGAATCCTCCTTACTGGGTATGACAGAAAGACTGGTATATCAACTCACGAGGATACATTTCCATAATTAAGATAGAGAAAAGCAAACAGGGAGTGACAGAAATATAGAACAAAGTGCATTTTCACATATGCATAATGCTGACCAAATGTGCAATGTTGGGTCAATCCTGGCAGGGAAGAAAAAAAAAAACAGCCTTAAACAGTAGGAGGAAGAATTTATCCAATATTTATGAGAAATTTATTGACAGGAAGGATACTCCCTGAGGGAAGCTAAGTAATTATTGTCCCTGAGGAATTTGACAAATTGAACAGATATTTTTCTGTCATGCTTCAGCTATGATTTTTGTCTGGAAGCAAGGGAATATTTAAGGCAAATGTTCAGTAACCTCTGGCCCCCTGACTCCTTTACTAAAGGAATTTTATGATATTCAAGTTTAAAAACTATTTTAGTTAATAGAAAGGGGGCTGAAAAAAATTTAAAAAACAACAGATTTCATTCATGTAAACTCTTCAAAAAAAAAAAAAAGTACTTTAAAAGGGCCTGGTGTTTACAAATAGCAAAAGTATGTATACGTACAGTCACCCGCAGCAACCCCTGTGAAGGTTTTCTAACCTGCAGGAAGAGATATGAAGTATAATAACGTGTGGCGAGGCCCAGGGCTGGTAGAGACGTAATTTAAGTGAAGTCACTCTGGAATAATGTGGCACCAAGAATGTGTATAGTTAGCAAACATTTTATGCTGTGTACAAACTTTTTTATAATTATTTTTTATTTACGGGACAATTATAATAAATATTGGAATTTTAAAAAACTTATCACAATGACATGGACCTAGAACAAAAAAAAAAAATCCTACCATCCATTCTCCATTCCCTCCCAATCCCCAAAATCCTACCTTCCATTCTCCATTCCTTCCCAATCCCCAAAATCCTGCCTTCCATTCTCCATTCCCTCCTAATCCCCAAAATCCTACCTTCCATTCTGCATTCCCTCCCAATCCCCAAAATCCTACCTTCCATTCTCCATTCCCTCCCAATCCCCAAAATCCTACCTTCCATTCTGCATTCCCTCCCAGTCCCCATTCACATGAGTATGCTCTGTAGCTTTTTAAGCTAAAATTACCAAGAGTGGAAGTTTTTCTTTCTTAAAAGTGTGATCAGTAACCACTCCAGAAGCGTGCAGCAATGTGGAGGAATGTCCTAAGTATGCCATCACAATCCCAACAGCCACTGTCATCTACTGAGTCCCGGGGAAAAACAGCTTTCAGGAGGAAATTCGAGATTTACCTTTTCTTCATTTGCCTTTAGCCTGGGCTTGATTGGATGAGTCAGATTCCCAAATTCTCTAGTTCCATGTAGTGTGGCATTTACAGCAAAGAAAACTAGAATCGTCTGCCTCTGCTTTGTCTCTGGACTGAGGCCCTGAGCTGGCTGCCCAGATGGAGCAACTGAAGGGGAATAGGAGGAAACCCTCCGGGTGGGCAGATGGTGCTGAGCAGAGGCCTGCGAGGAGGGCGGGGGCTGGATCGGGGACAGCAAACAGAACGGAGCCACTGCAAAAAAGGAGATCTACAGCTGGCCAAGACCGTGAGAGGAAGCGCAAGTGCTACTACCAGGAGATACCAACAGGCTTCACGTCGCTCCAGAGAGATTCTTATACTAAACTAGGACCCTCATCCTAGTCCCAGGCAAATACTTCAGATAGTGACAAGAGCCAGATAACAAAAGGGCTAGCCATCATTAACCATAGCAATATCTACTTGGTTTTCTTTATTTGGGGAGGGTCGGGGACAGCTTTAACCACTAAGGAGAGGAGTCTCCGTAAATTCTAGTCTGGTTTGTGTCAGCGAACTCGGGTTAAGCCCTGCTTCTGTCTCTCAAACAGCATGTGAGACTTTGGGCAAACTGCTCAAGCTTTCTGAATTTCTTTTTCCTCATTTGCAACTTGAGGATAAAAATATCTGCACTACTACCTCACAGACTGAGAATCAAGTGTGGAAACATATGTGAAACCATCTAAAATACTGGGAAATGCAACAGAGTACTATTATTAATTTGTAGTTATAAGTCTAATTTTGTATGTTATGATATCAGATCTCATAATAACTGCTGTTTCAGGTCTGTCATTACCTACTCATTATTCAATAATGCAACACAAAGTATTATTAAATTTTAGCTTTAAGTCTGATTTTGTATATTATGATATTAGATCTTATTAAAACTGTCATTTCAGATCTTTCATTATCTATTATTAAATTAAATATTATATATAGATAAATTTAGAATCTTCTAGGTTTTAGCATTTCATTTTGATCAATTCCTCCAAATTATTACAGCATATAAAACTACCTAATTTGCAAGCAGTCTATCAAATGTAAAGAAAACCAGTGACACAAGCCATACACTCTCATTAGTAGATAACTCACGTTAGGAAATGTAAGAAAATAACCTGAATGCGCATTGAACTGGTACAACCTTAAAGCAGTCATTCTCAACTACAGTGATTTTGTCCCCCAAGGGACATTTGGCATGTCTGGGAATATTTTTGGTTGTCACAACTGGGGTCTGCTACTGTCACCTAGTGGGTTAAGGCTAGGGGGATACTACTGAACCCCGTACAACATACAGGACAGTTCGCCACAACAAATAATTAATTATCTGGCCTAATATGTCAGTAGTTCCAAAGCTGAGAAATCCTGCCCTGAAGTTTTATTATTGTCTCTATCACTGAAAATATTAAAACTCAGGACAAATGTGCCTAAAAATCTAAAACAAAAGCATTCACCTCTACCAGGGATCCAAACTTACTAATAAACTCTGTAAATACTGCCAGAATCTGTTTCTCTCATCCTGAGTCAATGAACTACACTCAGAATGCATGAATTGAATACCAAGACTTGAAGGAGCTCATTTCTAATCACAAGAAGACTTGAACCCAATTTATATAAAGAGGCAGGCAAAAGGAACATCTGGTCCCCATAGGAATAATGCTTAGGAAGAGTAATCCTTACAAAAAAAGTGAGCAGAAAGCAAGCTGCTGTGAAGGGCCTCAGAAGCTAAGCTTTCATTGTTGGGCCTCACTGGTCGTCTTTGAATTCAGCGGGACTCCTTCCAAATGCATATTAACAGATGAATGGATAGACCCATCTGCGGCAAGGAATGCCCTCCGAGCAGGATCTCCGCTGACAAGCATGGCTGGTATTCAACAAGCGGGAAAGTCATAAATTCCACAGAGACAATAGCTCAGCTTTTTGTCCAGTTCATCACCTTAGTAAGTCAATTTATCACAAGGAGGATCTCCACACTCACACCTGTTTTAGAAAACATCCCAACATCTGCAGCATGGCTTACAGAAGGCTGATCAAGCCGTGGGTCGTGGCCCATTGTTGGGTTATGAAATCCATTCGATGAATTGATACCAGTATTTTTAAATGAATACAAGAGAACAAAATAGAGCAGAAGAGAGACTAGCAGAACGGAAAATAGACGAGTGAATCCCAGTAAGAGTAAAATTTGTTTCATGAAACTAAATTCTTGTGTGTGCTTGTGTGTTTGTCCATATACTGGGTTGTGAAGTAAAATTATGTCTTCTTGAGTCACGATTAAAAAAGAAATGTTTTAAAAACTGACTTATAAAACCACAAGAGGTAGTTTTGCCAGAATGGTACATCCACTCTAAGAAAATCCAAGGAGAGCCAAGCTCCGACGAGTCCCAAAACATTCGAAAAGTCATTGTTGGCTGGACGTGGTGGCTCACGCCTGTAATCCCAACATTTTGGAAGGCCAAGGCAGGCAGATCACTTGAGGACAGGAGTTTGAGACCAGCCTGGCCAACATGGTGATACCCATCTCTACCAAAAATACAAAAATTAGCCGGTCACAGTGGCTCATGCCTGTAATCCCAGCTATTCGAGAGGCTGAGGCATGAGAATCACTTGAACCTGGGAGGCAGAGGTTACAGTGAGTGGAGATTGCATCACTGCGCTCCAGCCTGAGTGAAGAAGAGATTCTCACTCAAAAAAAAAAGAAAAGAAGAGTCAGGGCCAGGTGCAGTGGCTCACGCCTGTAATCCCAGGACTTTGGGAGGCCGAGGCTGGTGGATCACATGAAGTCAGGAGTCTGAGACCAGCCTGGCCAACACAGTGAAACCCTGTCTCTACTAAAAATACAAAAATTAGCCGGGCGTGGTGGCAGGCACCTGTAATCCCAGCTACTCGGGAGGCTGGAGCAGGAGAATCTCTTAAACCCAGGAGGCGGAGGTTGTAGTGAGCCGAGATCGCGCCACTGCACTCCAGCCTGAGCAACAGAGCAAGACTCCGTCAAAAAAAAAAAAGAAAGGGAAAGGAATGGAAGGGAAGGGAAGTCATTGTCCAAGGCAAACACTTCAGATACAGACAGTAAGTACAAGATTTTTTTTTTTTTTAAAGATGGCCCATCATTAATGTGCAATCTGGACACCACAGATTAGGTCCATGGGCTTCATCCTTTTGCACTGCACAAATTAAAAAAAAAAGCACACACATTCACTGGACATTCAACTTCTTGGTAGGAAAGTTAGGAACAACCCAATAAGGAAGATAACCCAACAAGTGGGTCTTGGAGGATGAGTAGGATTCCATTAGATGAAGAAAGGAAAGAGAAGGCCGTGCGCGGTGGCTCACGCCTGTAATCGCAACACACTGAGAGGCCAAGGCAGGCAGATCACCTGAGGTCAGGAGTTTGAGACCAGCCTGGCCAACACGGTGAAACCCCTTCTCCACTAAAAAAATACAAAAATTAGCTGGGTGTGGTGGCGGGCGCCTGTAATTCCAGCTACTTGGGAGGCTGAGACAGGAGAAACACTTGAATCCAGGAGGCAAAGGTTGCGGTGAGTCAAGATCACGCCACTGCACTCCATCCTGGGCAACAGAGCAAGACTCCGTCTCAAAAAAAAAAAAAAAGAAAAAGAAAAAGAAAAAGAAAAAAGAAAAATAAAGGAAAGGAAAGAAAGGAATTCCAGGGAACAGAAAATGGCTTGTTCAAAGACACGGTGCTCCATAACCACTTGCTGGATCCCTGAAGGACCGAATCCACAAGAGAATACATGGAGAAAGACCCCAGCTCCTTCAGGGAAAGGTGTGAAGGGGGTGCAGGTCCCAAGCACCAGGGTCAGGGACAAAGTTTGGAGAGAGGAGGAGGTAAGAGGGAAAAGGCAGGCTGAGGGAGGGGAAGCTAAGGGAATCTTGGACAGGCCCCTGCCCATCCCCTTACACCCTCCCCTACCCACTGTTCCCAGAAACACCACGGCACGACCATCAACCTCAGGACACTTTGGAACACCCTCTGGGAAAGGAGTCCACAGTAGCCAACAGCTCAGCGTCAGTGTGGGAGGCAGTGTTGGCCCAGGAAGAAAATGTTCAAAGTATTGGCAGAAACTTGGGGAAATGAAGTGAAATTTTAAAGTTCCACTCAACAATTCGACATGAATGTTTGGAGACTCTCCTATACACGGAGCACTGTGCTGGACACCATGAGGGACAGAAGTGTGAGAGATGACACCATCCCTTCCCAAAGGAGCTCATCAGCTTGTGCCTGGAGGGAGAGAGATTATAAACCATGAAACATGTGGAGAATCAGTAAGAGAGAATATGAAAGGCCAGGCACAGTGGCTCGTGCCTGTAATCCCAGCACTTTGGAAGGCCGAGGTGGGTGGATCACCTGAGGTCAGGAGTTCGAGACCAGCCCGATCAACATGGTGAAACCCCGCCTTTACTATAAATACAAAAATTAGTCAGGCGTGGTGGCACACGACTGTAGTTCCAGCTACTCGGGAGGCTGAGACAGGAGAATTGCTTGAGCCCAGGAGGCGGAGGTTGCAGCGAGCCGAGATGGCGCCACTGCATTCCAGCCTGGGCGACAAAGCATGACTCCGTCTACAGGGGGAAGAGAGAGAATATGACAACTTTAACAGCATCAAGTTTATGAGAGAGATGGTGAAACCGGCAATCCCACAAATATTACTGGTATGTTTTTGGAATGTCAAGTAAATTCAGTGGCCCGGCTATATGTGAGCCATTGCAGAAACTGAAAATATTTCAGGGAATTTAAACACACACACACTTTCAAGCAAAATTACAAAATCAAGGAGCTTCTCTGAACCTATTCTGGCTCAGGGGCTGCCCAATAAAAATTTTGTTTTTTAATTTTTTAAATTACAGAATCAATATTGTCTAAAATAATCCTGGATAAGACGAAATATTTTCCTTATTTTTCTTTTAGAAATTATTCAAAGGCATTTTACACATTCTCACCACGGCTCTTTGAAACATGTATTTTTTTTTTTTAAATATATCAAATGTTCAGTCCCACTCTGCCCTTTCTCCCCCGTCTACTTCAAGTCTCAGCTAAAACTTGTCCAACATCCTGGCCTCTATAAACTTCGTGGTCCTGTTCTGGTGACTACCAGAACAAAGATTCAAAAGACCTAAAGCTGTTAGCATGTCTTTTAAATGGCCCTCTTTTATAACTTTTATAAACATGGGATTCAAAATTGTGAGTGTGACTTTTAAATAACCTCCGTTTTTAACCTTTCTGAGCTTGAGCCACTCCACAAAGAGCAAGCTTAGGCCTGGGTAAGCACTTCCCAAGGTTTACATCAAAACTTAAACAGCATCATGCGCTGGAATCTCAGACTGCAACCACACAGCTTCTTGCTGACTATGGAAACCTGCATGGATGTAAAAGGCCCGAGCTTCAGTACATCAGAAGCAGATACCGTCCTCCTAAACCCCAATCACATTCTGTAACCAAAATCTACCACGGTCATTGTACCAAGTTATTCTTGGCAAAACATTTCTTCATTATGCACTGTTTCATTTAAGTTAAAAAATGAACGGGGCTTAAACCACATATTTTTTTCCCCTCATCTAAATGGGTGCTTTCCCCACCTTCATAAAATGTGTAACTATTCTACTTCAACAAGGGTTTTTGCCTTGTTTGAGAGTCATTTTTAGAAATGTATGTCTTCAGGCTACAATGTAGATTCTCCCTGAGGGCTGCAGGTAAATTAACCAATCATTGCTGAAATTTTCCTTAATTCATATGAGTATTCACAACAAACCTGATAAGATTTTAGCTAACAACTTTATAGAAACTTTCAGGAAAAAAAACAACATATATATACTAGTTGGTATAGTTTAAATTTGCTAATTTATAGAAATTTAACATTTTTTCATATCCAAAGTAGATGAAACACGGATGGAGGGGGAAGGGCCTAATCCATTCTTTTTTTCTGAGATGGCAGTCTCTCTCTGTCACCCAGGCTGGAGTGCACTGGTGCGATCTCAGCTCACTGCAACCTCTGCCTGCCAGGTTCAAGCAAGTCTCAGGCCTTAGCCTCTGGGATTACAGGCACACACCGTTACATCCAGCTAATTTTTGTATTTGTAGTAGAGATAGGGTTTCACCATGTTGGCCAGGCTGGTCTCAAACTCCTGATCTCAGGTGAGCCGCCCACCTCGGCCTCCCATAGATTACAGGCGTGAGCCACCACGCCTGACCAATCCTTTCTTAATGCTGCTGTGTGCCGGGATACCCCAGGCACAAGAATCCTCATAGGTTGCATAATCATCCCTGTTTTACAGAAAATAACTTCAGCCTCCAGGGGATGAATAATGAGGCAAAGGTAGGAATCAAACCTGGATATTTTCGATCATTTTTTAACATCGATTGATTGATCAACTTATTGCCAGGGTCTTGCTCTATCACGCAGGCTGGAGTACAGTGGTGTGATCACGGCTCACTGTAACCTCAAATGCCAGGGCTCAAGTGAGCCTCCTGTCTCAGCCTCCCAAGTAGCTGGGACTATAGGCTTGCACCACCATGCCTGCTAATTTTTTTATTTTATTGTTTGTAAAGACAGGGTCTCACTATGTTGCCCAGGCTGATTTTCAACTCCTGGGCTCAAGGAGTTGAATCCTCCTGCCTTGGCCTCCCAAAGCGCTGGGATTATAAGTGTGAGCCACCACACCAGGCCATTTTAATGCAGTGGCTCATGCCTGTATTCGGAGCACTTTGGGAGGCCAAGATGGGAGGATCCCTTGAGCCCAGGAGTTTGAGACCAGCCTGGGCAATACAGTAAGATGTTGTCTCTTTAAAAAATAAAATAATAATTTTAAATTATTTTGTACTTCTTAATCTGAAATTATTCCTTTTTTTTTTTTTTTTAGTACAATTTAACTTTCAGGATTCCCTTTCAAAAGAGTGGTTTGGCCAGGCCCAGTGGCTCACGCCTGTAATCCCAGCAATTTGGGAGTCCGAGGCAGGTGGATCACCTGAGGTCAGGAGTTTGAGACCAGCCTGGCCAACATGGTGAAACCCCATCTCTACCAAAGATACAAAAATTAGCCAGGAGTGGTGGCGGGCACCTGTAGTCCCAGCTACTTGGGAGGCTGAGACAGGAGAATTGCGTGAACCTGGAAGGCGGAGGTTGTAGTGAGATGAGATCACGCCACTGCACTCCAGCCTGGGTGACAAAGCGAGACTCCATCTCAAAAAAATTAAAATTAAATTTAAATAAATAAAGGGTGGTTGTGGTTCTGATCAATCCATGCCCCTTTCACAAATCAAACATCTTAAACATCCTTCTCTAAGGGTATTTTTTTTCTCCAGGTAACAAAGGTTTCCGTGGCTGGGGATGAAGAGGTAAGAATAAAATGAAAAACTAAACTTCTAAGTTACCCAAGGAGCTTTATGGTTAAAATTTAGTTATCCCAGTCTACTGCCTTATAAAGAACATTATGCAAATGAGAATTTTGTTTTCTTGATACTTTAAGCTTCATGGTAATTGTCTTCAATAATAATTATAACTTAGAGTATGCCTCCAAATGGCTGTGGGGGTGGGGCATGGCCACCAAGACAAAGGGAGAGCAGAGGAGACACTCAAGGCCACAGAATAACCAAGGGGCATCTTCCTGAAGCTCTGATTTCATTTAATGCTAAGTAATTTAAATATTATGTCCATAATAAAGAAATATGTATCATGGCAGGGCACGGTGGCTCACGCCTGTAATCCCAACACTTTGGGAGGCTGAGGCAGGAGGATCACTTGAGATTAGGAATTTGAGACCAGCCTGGCCAACACAGTGAAACCCCATCTCTACAAAAAAATACAAATATTAGCTGGGTGTGGTGGCACGCCTCTGTAATCCCAGCTACTCAGGAGCCTGAGGCACAAGAATCACTTGAACCTGAGAGGCAGAGGTTGCAGTGAGCTGAGAAGGCACCACTGCACTCCAGCCTGGGTGACACAGCAAGACTCCATTTCAAAAAAAAAAAAAAAAAAAAAGAAAAAAAAAAAAATATATATATATATATATATATAAAGTAAAGTATAAAATTTACATTTTTAAGATAAAGTATAGGAGTTCAACGATATTTAGCATTTACATTAGTTTGCTTCTGCTACATCATCAGGCTTCCCAGGGAGGATACATTTTCACTGATTAAGGCAATAAATGTTCACTGAATAACAACTCTTTGCTAGACAGTTCTAAGCCCTGGGGATACAGCAATAAACAAAACAGACCCCCATCCAAAGAAGTATCCCTGCTCTCATGGAGCTTATACTAAAGTGGAGAGAGATGAACAATAAACAACGAAAATAAATTTTTTTAAGACGGAGTCTTGCTTTGTTGCCCAGGCTGGCTTGCAGTGGCATGATCTCGGCTCACTACAACCTCCACCTCCTGGGTTCATGTGATTCTCCTGCCGCAGCCTCCCAAGTAGCTGGCACTACAGGAGCCCACCATAACGCCCAGCTAATTTTTGTATTTTTTTAAGTAGAGATGGGGTTTCACAGTGTTGGCCAGGCTGGTCTCGAACTCCTGACCTCAAGTGATCTGCCGGCCTCAGCCTCCCAAAGTGCTAAGATTATAGGCATGAGCCACCACGCCTGGCCGAAAAATAAATTTTCTTTTAGGAGGTGATAAGCACTTTGACAAAATAGTAAAGAAGGAAATGGGGGAGGAGGCAACGTGGAGAGGGGAAGGATGCTGCAATTTTTAAAAGGCGAGGAAGCCTCTCTGAATGGTGACACTTCAGCAGAGACTTGCAAGGAGGAGACACCAAGTGTATTTCAGGGAAAGGGCACCGTGGGCAGGGGCAACAGAAAGTGCAAGTGCCGGAGAGGCAGGGACCAGCATGGCCGCAGCAGAGCAAGCGAGGGGAAGAAGGGCAAGAGAGGTCAGAGAGGGGCCACAGAGCCAGTGAAGGCAGCCTTGAGGGACAGTTTAAGGACTTTGGCTTTCACCTTGAGAAAAAAAGTCATAATTAGAGGGTGTGATAGAGAAGGCTCATCATGGGACATTTTAAAAGGATCTGTGTAGCTGCTGTGTGGATATGGATTGTCAGCGACACAGTGGAAGCAGCAGGGGGACCTGCTAGGCTACCGGAACGATGCAGGGGAGAGGCAATGCGCCCCAGCTTGGGTGGGGGTGGTAAGGGAGGGGGGTGGTAGGGGAGGAGGCTGCCTCCGGACACAGCTGAAGCTCTGGAGGGCCGAAGGGAGAGCCAGCAGGACTCGAGGGCAGGTGGAAGCAAGTGTGAGTGACACCAAGGATGATTCCACACTGTTCCATTAAAGCCATGGGAGAATGCAGACGGCAGAGCAGAGCAGGCTTCCGCGGGCAAGATGAGGAGTTCAGTTTTGGACAAGCTGGGTTTGAGGTGTCCACTGGATACTTAAGTGGTAATACCAGTCTGGAGTTCAGGAGAGAAGTGGGCTGCTCACCCACACAAAGATGGTATTTAAAACACAAACTGGATGGGTTCTCCATAAGTAAACAAAGGAAAGACATGGGGTCCAAGGAGGCCCTGGGGCACCTTGACATTAAGGGGTCAAGGAAATGAGGAGAAGCCCATAATGGAGACAGAAGGGGCAGTTGGTGAACTGAATTAAGAGGAACCAAGAGACCTGGCACGGTGGTGGCTCACACCTGTAATCCCAGCACTTTGGGAGGCTGAGGCGGGCAGATCACCTGAGGTCAGGAGTTCGAGACCAGCCTGGCCAACGAAACCCCGTCTCTACTAAAAAAAATTACAAAAATTAGCCGGGCTTGGTGGCGCATGCCTGTAATCCCAGCTGCTTGGGAGGCTGAGGCAGGAGAATCACTTGAACCTGGGAGGCGGAGGTTGCAGTGAGCCGAGATCGCATCACTGCAGTCCAGCCTGGGCAACAGAGCAAGACTCCATCTCAAAAAAAAAAAAAAAAAAGAGGAAACCAAGAGAGTATGTGGCACCTAAAGCCAATTGGGAAAAGCACTTCAGGGAGAAGACTGAGCAACCATGTCAAATGTTTCTGATTCAAATAACAAAAACCTAGAACAAGCAGTGCATTTAGTAGATCTGGCATTATGCAGGTCCCTGTGAACAGGACAAGGGCAGAATGGGGTGGAGAAAGACCGACTGGATTGAGTTTGAGGATAAGGTCAGTGAAACTGAAGGGAGTGAATAGGGACAGCTCATTCAAAGAGTTTTACTATAAAGGGGAGCAGAGAGGAATCAGTTGCTAGCGGGAAGGACAGAGGGATCAAAAAGAGCTTCATTTATTGTCTATGTGTGTATCTTCAGGAAAAATTCCAGCACGCAATGAGAATTAAAGGGAAAATGTGATGTGGTGCAGAGAGAGGGGCCATTCCTAAAATGTCCTAGAATGGGTCAAAGGGAGAGGAATTGCACGCACAAGAGGAGGTGGCTCTAGAGCAACTGCCCCTCCTATCACAGAAACTTCAGAAACGTTTGAGAGGCACCAACATCACATACATGCAGTAGGGTGTCAGGATACAAGAGCTCCAGTGAGAAACTCCTTCATTACCTGCATGTCACTGTGTTGTCTTGTAATTTCTATTTTTTTCCCACTGTGACATTTCTTAAAAAGGTAAGTGATGGTTATTGTTAGTTTCCTGTTATTTCAGGGGGCTTGTTATTGTTGTTGTTTTATAGTTAACTTGTCTGGCTGTTTGGATACATTTGTGATCATCCTATCAATTTTCAACGGAGAGTGTGTGTGTGTGTGTGTGTGTGTGTGTGTGTGTGTGTGTATTCCAAGAATATATGGACACTTTCCATGAAGCGCTTTACTCTCCAGTGCCTCCTAATGTCATGAGTTTCCTCGGTTCACTACTGTGTCTGTGTATAAAGCTTCCTTTCATTTATCTTTAAGATGCCTTTTTCCACCTTCCAGGGGTGGCCAAGGGTAACTCGAAAAAGAGCCTGTCTTTATTCTCTCCACTTGGTTTCTTCTCATTGCCTTTAATCATATGGATTCTAGCTTTTGTCTTTAAAAGCTTGCAAACTCTGTCTCTCCTTAGCCCTTCCCCACATCTCCATTTTAGAAATCCGACTCTAGCAATTCTGCGACTATAGAGATGGGTCAGGGTCAAGCACAAAGGCAGGATAAGGATTATTCTCACTTTCCAGTGCTTGAACAATACCCAGGATTTTTGAACCTTTATTCAAGTCCTAGGAACACCCTGAATCAACTTCATCCTGACATTATCTGTGGAGCCCACTGCATCCCTTTCCTTAAGTGTAAATGATAACTTGGCCTATCACTTTTTGTGTAAACTTTACTTTTCCAAAAGTGCCTTACATCACCTTGGCACTAAAGCCAGGCCTCATCTGCTGTGTTTCTGTTCCCTTCCAGGGCTTCTTTTTTGTAAGGCACAGAAGTAACAAAACCTAAACAGTCTTCTATTGGAATGTGACTATAAACCAAAGAAAACCAATCTAAGACTGAACCAGGAAGAGACTGACAGATGAAGTCTAATCAAACCTGTCTTATCACATAGGTTAGGGTAACATGTGTGCACCTAAAATTCTCTCTGGCAACAGTCAGAGAGCTGATGGTCACAGATTGAATGTACAGCTTTGAATTTGACTAGGCTATGGGAAAAGCAAAAGCCCTTTTCTCTACTAGAGCTTTAAACAGACAGGTAAACCAAACCAACACACAGGTTACCAAACACGTTTGGTAAACAGGTAAGTAAATAGATGAAAGAAAGAACAACAAAAAAAAAAAGAAAAGAAAGAGGAAAGGAAGAAGGAAGGATGGACAAAGGGAGGAAAGGAAATGTATGTGCATGTCGGCTGGACGTGGTGGCTCATGCCTGTAATCCTAACACTTTGGGAGTTCAAGGCGGGCGGATCACTTGAGATCAGGAGTTCAAGACCAGCCTGGCCAACATGGTGAAACCCCGTCTCTACTAAAAATACAAAAAAAAATTAGCCGGGCGTAGTGGCAGTTGCCTGTAATCCCAGCTACTAGGGAGGCTGAGGCAGGAGAGTCCCTTGAACCCAGAGGTGGAGGTTGCAGTGAGCCGAGATTACACCACTGCACTCCAGCCTGGGTAAAAGAGTGAGACTCTGTCTTAAAAAAAAAAAAAAAAAAAAAGTCTGTGCATTTGTCTGTATATATTTGCACACATGTGTATGCATACACAAGTCTCTATCAATTATCTAAGATACATCAGGATGTGCCAAAGTTTCCTCAATTAAGGAACAGGTAGAGTAAGAAAAAGACTAACAGGATACCTGGAATTTCCTTCCAGCTGGGTAACTAACCATCTCTGTGGCTTCGGACAAGTCGCTTCAGTTCTGTGGTTCTTCAATTGTCTCCTTTGAAAAACTGCCTAAGGTCCATTTTCAGCTCTAACGTTCTATCTCTACAATACTATGGACTATAAAGACCTGAAAAATGAGTGTTCAATATGTTTCCTGAGACACTGATGTTGAAGCCTCCTGATATTTGTAAGCCTGTTTTAAGTAGAACTGAGTAATAAAAAGACATTCCACCCTGTTAATAGAATTCAACAGTCAGACATTCAGGTTTATCTACTACCATTATTATTACTTTTTACTGTTTTTAATACTGCTGCTATTTCTTTCTATTCCATACCTTTATCTTTTTTCTAGCCCTTCTAGTAAAGCTGTTATTACCTTCATGTAGAAGGCACACTTAATTTCAAAACAAAAAAGATGCAAATTATTCCTTTAAAAAATGTCCAAATAGACCTTGTTCTTCACGGCCTGTATTTTTCTAAATCTAAAAGCTGAAGGCCGGGTGCAGTGGCTCACACCTGTAATCCCAGCACTTTGGGAGGCCGAGGCGGGCGGATCATGACGTCAGGAGATCAAGACCATCCTGGCTAACACGGTGAAACCCCATCTCTACCAAAAATACAAAAAAATTAGCCGGGTGTGGTGGTGGGCG
Source organism: Homo sapiens (assembly GCF_000001405.40). Lineage (NCBI taxonomy): Eukaryota > Metazoa > Chordata > Mammalia > Primates > Hominidae > Homo > Homo sapiens. Next base: position 155,109,127 of record NC_000006.12, on the reverse strand, counting down.
CCTGTAGTCCCAGCTACTCGGGAGGCTGAGGCAGGAGAATGGTGTGAACCCAGGAGGCGGAGCTTGCAGTGAGCTGAGATCGCGCCATTGCACTCCAGCCTGGGCGACAGAGTGAGACTCTGTTTCAAAACAAAAAACAAAAAAGAAAAAGTTGAACTAAGGGATCTCACTAACCTGATTTATTATAATCACATAAGGGAATCTTACAAAGTGAGTCAAACCTAGAGGCACATACACATATAGTAAAGTGCCCCATCAGATATTTACGCTTTGTGGTTTTTTATTCAATACTTCTGGTGGGAAGAAGCTGCAAAGACCCTTAACTAATTTTGCAAAAGAAAGCATGGCTCTGCTCAAACACAATCTCAGACCACCAAGACAGAATCATCTGTTTTACTTAATGGGTAAGTGAAGGACCCACTTACCCACTGGAAAACTAATCTCTTCACAAGGAGCCTAACGCTTATCTCGCACTTCCAGGCATCCTTCCTGCAGGCCTGATCTAATGAGAGGGCTTTGGAAAGTCACTCCCTCTGCACTAAAGTATTGAAAAAAGGTGTTATCTATTTGCATTCAAAACACTATTTACGGTCTGGTCAGTATGAATTTGAGTCATTAAGTTCTTCAATGGACTTCACTTTCTGTCCACAAGCTCTGGCAAAAATCAAAGTAGGTGACAAGTGTTAATGTGACCGGAGAAGGCGGCGGTCAGTGCACTGTTCCTGCTCTCAGTGCTTGCTGGCTCTGTCAGAGCCGCATTTTTTAGATGAAAAGGAAAAGTCATCAATAAAATATGACCAATCTTTCTATGAACTGTAACCTGCCTGAACCACACTCACATTCCTCCATCCCTAAAGACGTGTCTGTAAAGGAAGTGAACACATGGGGGATGCCCAATACACCGATGGAGATGACAGCCCTGACCCAGCACAGCTGAAAACGAACCCACGTAGCCTGCCTGAAAATAATTCATAACCTCATAATGCTGAAAGTATAAAATTTTAGAATCCCTAAGTGTGACAAAAGGCCACAACAAAATGTTTAAACCTGTTAGGAAAAACTCCAGCAGCTGTTCACCCGTACCCTTACTTTCCAGAAATTCTATAAATAATCCTGTAAGTTACAATGACTTCAATAAAGCTCCCTATTTCTGTCTCTCCACCTACCAATTTTCTGCGAATTACATGCTTGGCCAAATTAATGTAAAGCCAAGGAAGAACTACACCAAAGCCAGGGCTCCTCGGCCCCTGCTGATGAGCACACACCAGACGTTCAGCAGTACTTGTGCTTCTGGTGTTTCAAATACCCTAATGAATGAGCAGCCTCTAATGGACTAGAATATGAATCAATCACTCCTCTTAAACAAGTACCCCCCTCCCAAGATTACAAGGGATTCCATTTCTTTTTCATAAAGTTTAAGACAAAAAGACAAACGATACTAAACAGCGAAAGTCAAATTACAAGTTTGAAAAGAAACTCTTAAGCCAAATAGCCCACTCAGCTAAAAATTAAGCCCTGATGAGATGATATAATAACCCAAAAACTGCAAAATACAATCTCTGCCACATCTTAATTTCCCTTTCTACTCTGAAAAAATTAACTGGTAAAGTAATAGTCATCAATGCTTTAACATGATCACACTGAGAAGTGGTACTTTCTTGAGACCATCAGGAAAAATAAATCCATACAATACGTACAAATTTTGGAGAGTTAATTAGTAAAACGGCGCAGGCAACTGCAATAAATCACCAATAGGTGTTTGAAAGCACACAGACACTCCAATTTAAAGGCAACAATTCCCTTATGCACAGCAACGTGTGCTGCCTAAGTACAAAATAATGTCAGACAAAAATAAGTCAGCACTTATATATTGCCGGTGGGAGCATTTTGAGAAACATTTTTATCTCACATGTAAAATTACGTCTCAACTCCAGAAGAGGGGAAGTAAACATTTATAACCTTACCTTTGCCAGAACTTTGGATGTAGCCAGTATTTCTCGGGGTCTGTTCGTTAATAAGAAAAGTTTCACAAAGCTAGAGTCTATATACACATCCACAAACTCACTCTTCCTTCTGCTCATGGTAAGCCAGGAAACAGTGTCTAACACTTCAAATGCTCAGCCGTTGAGAGCTAAAAACAGATCCTGTGCAATGCTGGATATATTTTTGTCTGCTAGCTACACACCCTCATCATGTTCAATTTTTTCCATTGGTGGAACAGTATGATGCAGACTTAACCAGAAAGTGGTTTTCCATGGGCTGCCTGAAGCCATTAGCCGGGACAGCCTGCCATCATGCCTCGGAGAGGCCAGGCTCGCCCATGACTGGGCTGTTGTTGGGCCTGCATTCCATAATTACCACCGAAGTTCCATAGGAACACGGCTCCCAAGTCAGCCGAATAAAGGTTTACTCACTTGAAGGGAGCCTCAGCTTCTTTTTTAAGCCCTTTAGCAGTAAGAATACACACCTACCATCCTTGCATTTAGAGCAGTAGTAAACATTCTGCCTCCAAAACCACAGCTGGAATGTTATGATCATAAAAACCCTGCCTCAAGAGAGGCCCTTAAAAATAATATCATGATTTGCAAAATATCGGGTATAAACTTACTTGTGTTCCTTGCTAGAGTTCTTTCATTTTTAAGTTGGCTGAACTACAGTCTTGTACATTGGAAGTCCTTGTTACCCCAACGTGGTGCTTTTTTATTAAAAATGAACCATTAAATTATCTTAAATAAAAGTTATATACAGCAGAGGTTCAGAGTGTTTTGGGGTCTTGCTATATCCTTTGATGAAAGACCTTACATTTTAAAAATACCCCAAAAAGGCTGGGCATGGTGACTTACGCCTATAATCCCAGCACGTTGGGAGGCCGAGGAGGGTAGATCACCTGAGGTCAGGAGTTCGGAACCAGCCTGACCAATATGGTGAAACCCTGTCTCTACTAAAACTACAAAAATTAGCCAGGTGTGGTGATACACGCCTGTAATCCCAGCTACTCAGGAGGCTGAGACAGGAGAATTGCCTGAACCCAGGGGGCAGAGGTTGCAGTGAGCCGAGATCACGCCACTGCACTCCAGCCTGGGATACATAGAGACTCTCTCTCAAAAAAATAAAATAAAATAAAATAAAATAAAATAAAATAAATAAAAATACCCAAAAGATAAAGCAGCATTTTCAGATCTTTTATGTTATTGTGGAGGCGGGATGATGAATAGGAGAACAGGATCACAAACCTTCATATTTTATAGAAGAAAACCACTTAATCAAAGGTTTTCAAAATGTACATATTCTAAGTATGTGAATACACAAATTATCCCGGACAAACATGTGGCAAGAGATTTTTAAGGTAATACCTTCATCATTTTAAAAATAACAAAGGCTGGGCACGGTGGCTCATGCCTGTGATTCCAACACTTTGGGAGGCTGAGGTGGGAGGATCACTTGAGCCTAGGAGACCAGCCTGGGCAACATAGGGAGACTGTCTCTACCAGAAAAAAATTAAACAATTAGCTAACAGAAAAAAAAAAAAATTAGCCAAGCCTGGGAGTGCACACCTGTGGTCCAAGCTACAAGGGAGGCTGATGTGGGCAGATCACTTGAGCCCAGGAGTTCAAGACCACCCTGGACAACATAGGGAGACCCTATCTCTACAAAAAGTAAAAATAAAAAAATTAGCCAGGGCCAGGGGCGATGGCTCATGCCATAATTCCAGCCTCTGGGAGGCCAATGCGGGCAGATCACTTGAAGCCAGGAGTTTGAGATCAGCCTGGCCAACACAGTGAAACCTCGTCTCTACTAAAAATACAAAAATTAGCTGGGCGTGGTGGCATGCACCTATAGTCTCACCTACTCATGAGGCTGAAGTGGGAGAACTCGGGAGGCAGAGGCTGCAGTGAGCCAAGACTGTGCCACTGCACTACAGCCTGGGAGACAGAGCAAGACAGGAGATTGAGACCATCCTGGCTAACACGGTGAAACCCCATCTCTACTAAAAATACAAAAAATTAGCCAGGTGTGGTAGTGCATGCCAGTAGTCCCAGTTACTTGGGAGCTGAGGTGGGAGGATCTATTGAGCCTGGGGAGGTCAAGGCTGCAGTGAGCCATGACTGCACCACTGCACTCCAGCCTGGGTGACAGACTGAGACCCTATCTCAAAAGAAAAAGGATCTACATATCCAACAGAAAGATTTTTACCTAATATTACAGACCAGCCTCTACCATAGACAGATAAGCCTTTAATTCCTTATCTGGATGAAAACTGTATTTTACATACACATACATCCATCTACCCATATAGGCACACACACAATCTTTTTCCACATGAAGTTATTATACACTTGAAGGTATGCTTTATAATTTTTTTTTTTTTTTGAGACAGAGTCTCTCTCTGTTGCCCAGGCTGGAGTGCAGAGGCACGATCTCGGCTCACGGCAACCTCCGCCTCCCGGGTTCAAGCGATTCCCCTGCCTCAGCCTCCCTAGTAGCTGGGACTACAAGCGCCCGCCACCACGCCCAGCTAATTTTTTGTATTTTTAGTAGAGACGGGGTTTCACTGTGTTAGCCAGGATGGTCTCGATCTCCTGACCTCATGATCTGCCCACCTTGGCCTCCCAAAGTGCTGGGATGACAGGTGTGACCCACCGTGCCGGCCATGCTTTCTAATCTTAATTGGCCAATAATAAGAGCCATTATTGAAGACCATCAGTGTAATAGTTATAAAAATTAGCCTGAGCACAAAACATTTAAGTCAGGGCGGGGTCAGGGGAGAAGCGCAGGGAGGAGAGAAAAAATGTTAATGTGAACACAGAACAGGGAATTTTTAGTGCTGGTGGGATAAACCTGCAAAATTCCCTAGTCCAACCCTCTGGAATTACAGATAAAGAAACAGAGACCTTAAGTGACTTGCAAAAGGTCACAGAGCTGGCCAGCAACAGGCGGCAGCACAAGGATGTACCACCCAAGTAACCACAAGCCCCGGGACTGAAGTCAGAGGTTGCCACGGAGGCCAAGTCACATAACACAAAACACGGGAATTCCCAAAATGTTAATTTGGTGTGTGGGGGTGTGTGGGGGTGTGGGGGGGGGGGTGTGTGTGTGTGAGGTAAATACAGAAGAAGAATGAATGCTATTAAATCATGAGCTCTGCTTCCTTCAGACCCAGCAGCCTCATTTCTGTTACTAAAATAGGTAAAATAAAATAAAATAACAGCCAGTGTAAATGAAAGCCTTCCACATTAAGACAGAAAAGGGACTCTGTGATACAAAGGGAAGAAAAATTGTGCAGGAGAAGGAAATTTAAAGAGATATGTATCAGAGAGCAAAAAAAAGATCAGAAGAACAATTAATTGCATGGAAATATTTGCATGCCCCTACTCTAATTCCTTTTTTTTTTTTTTTTTTTTTTGAGACAGAGTCTCACTCTGTTGCCCAGGCTGGAGTGCAATAGTGCTATCTCGGCTCACCGCAACCTCCGCCTCCTGGGTTCAAGTGATTCTCCTGCCTCAGCCTCCCGAGTAGCTGGGATCACAGGCATGCACCACCACACCCGGCTAATTTTTGTATTTTTAGAAGAGACAGGGTTTCACCATGTTGGCCAGGCTGGTCTTGAACTCCTGATCTCAGGTGATCCACCCGCCTCAGCCTCCCAAAGTGCTAGGATTACAGGCGTGAGCTACCGCGCCCGGCCACTAATTCCTGCTTCTAGGTTTTCTTAAAACAATTCTGACCTTTTGATACATTTTATATGTAGATCCCTTCTCTGCCAGAACCTCCTGTACACATGAATTATCTCCAACATTCCTCAGATATTTCCGATGGTTTTGCATTGTCTGATTTCATTTTTTATTACTGAGGTCACCCAAATGACTTTAGTTCTATGAATTTATAAAGTCACTTGGGGTTTCAAACTATGTAAGGTTTCTCAAGTTCTTTAGACTGCCCAACTACAGTCGTATACTGTCAATTTAGTTCTCCATCCTAAAATTACAAAAACCAGAGAGTTCCAAATCATAAAACTAGACTTGATCTTTCTAATGCTTTATTCTGAGATAATAATATAACAGGACATATGTGTTAACAGGCATCTAAAATTAAATTCCTTGGCAAAGATCTCTGAGAAAAATGTAAATTACCACTTACGAAGTATTCTATTTTGAAGGATACAATGTAAAATGACCCATGTAAAAGCAAAAATGGCAAGCTATTAACAATTATAGAATCAAGTGGTGGGTTTATGGGTGTTCACTATACAATTCTTTTGATTTTTCTATATTCTTGCAAATTTTCTTAATAAAATGTTGGGAGGAAAATATATGTATACACACACACACACACACACACACACACACACACACACACACAATAAATTAATCCATAAAAAACACCATGTTTTACTAATACCTAGTCAAAAACTATGCAAAAATTGTTGCAAACCTGACTGTAATAAAAAACCTGAATATCCTAGACTGCATGTGCACACATGCATGCAAAGATATATTCTTGAGGGTTTCTGTTCCTATCCAGAGAAGAGCTGGAGAATATAAAATGATAAGATGGGGCATTGGAACACCCCCAGAATGAAAAGTTTGAGAGCCACTATCACATGACAAATTATTATTAATAAAAATAAGGGAATAGTGGAAACATCTCAGGCTTCAAAACCAGTAGATCTGGGCTAGCAATTCATCTCTTCAAAACTTAGAGGCTTCCTGAATCCCATATCCTTCATCATAAAGTGGGGTTGACAATCATAATGCCTATCACAAATAAGAAATGTAAATAACATGTTCTAATCTATAAATAATTATAAGAAAAACTGACATTAAAAATATAAGTTCTAGGCCAGATGCAGTGATTCACACCTGTAATCCCAGCACTTTGGGAGGCCAAGACAGGCAGACCACTTGAGGTCAGGAGTCCAAGACCAGCCTGGCCAACACAGTGATACCCCATTTCTGCCCCAAAATTAGCCAGGCATGGTGGCACGCACCTGTAGCCCTAGCTATTTGGGAGGCTGAGGTGGAAGAATCACTTGAACCCAGATGGCAGAGGTTGCAATGAGCTAAGATAGTGCCACTGCACTTACTCCAGCCTGGGCGACAAAGTGAGACTGTGTCTCAAAAAAAAAAGGCCGGCACGGTTGCTCATGCCTGTAATCCCAGCACTTTGGGAGGCCAAGGCAGGCAGATCATGAGGTCAGGAGATCAAGACCATCCTAGCCAACATGGTGAAACCGCATCTCTACTAAAAAAATACAAAAAATAGCCAGGCGTGGCAGTGTCCACCTGTAGTCTCAGCTACTCGGGAGGCTGAGGCAGGAGAACCCGAGAGGCAGAGGCTGCAGTGAGCCGAGATTGCACCACTGTACTCCAGCCTGGGCAACAGAGCAAGACTCTGTCTCTAAATAAATAAATAAATAAATGTTCTAAAGTAATGTGAACTATCAGAAATAACCTCTCTGCTTAGAATTCAAAGAAGAAAACAATAAAAACTCCTTCCATATTCTTTACTTCTCAGGTCAAACACAGAATGCTTCTGACAGAACATCTGACCAAGCACCACTCCTTACTGCTTAGCTATAGTCAAGGAAGAAAAGTAAAAATAAAAGAATAACAATCATAAGTAGAGATTAAAAATATAAATTACTTTTACCCAACCAGGATTACAAAAGATTAAATAATCCCTCACAAACGTAAATGTGCACCTTGGATGTAATTACATTAATGGGCAAAAAACCTCGGCAATATTCATGTGCTGAAGAGGGCTTCCCCACACTGTTTCTGATGAAAAAGCAATACTTTGAATAACGTAGGCTGAAGGAACACAGACCTTGAGAAATGCGGTAGCAAAAATGTCCCAGATGAAGGCAAGACTAGAAGAAAATGAGGCACACCAAGTATCTGCCTGAGAATCCTGAGATCCTCAGAAACATTACCGGGGGAGCTGATTTTTCTCCCCATTTGATCAAAAGGCCCAAATTTAGGAAGTCTGTTTCTAAAACCAAAGGTTTCCAAATTTGCCCAGAGAATACAGTGAGGGCGGGTAGGACTGGCCTTCATATCTAAAACAGGGGTGGTGTGAAGGTTTACCTCCCACGTGTGATGCTGAAAACCCACGCAAATGTACAACTGACGTGCAATTCATTGGCCGCTCAGACATTGCTCCTAAGAGGCTAGCAAAACAACTCGGGGCCCACAATTTAGAGTCCCTCTGGCGTGACATCAGATCCCACTGTATGACACTGGACACATCATTTAATTTCTCTGCGCCTCAGTTTCGTATGTGACACTGGACACATCATTTAATTTCTCTAACCCTCAGTTTCTTAATCTGTAAAATGGGGATAATTTTGTCTGCCTCCCAAGCTATTGTAAGGATCATGTAAAACAATAGATGTAAATTGTTTAACATAAGGTCTGCCTCTTAGAATGTTAATTCCACAAGGCAGGAAGGCAGGGATTTTGTTTAAATTGTTTACTGTTGAAAGTCCAGGACTTTAAGAAGCGCCTGGCACATGGTGAATACCCAATAAATACATGTTAAGTAACTGCATGCATGAATGAACGAATTAATGAATGGGAGGTGACAGTGATGGTGGCAGTGGTGGTAAATGTGAAAGGAAGAACAGTGTTTGTTGCACTCTACATCTCTGTTGTCAGAAGCCAAGCAATCCCTTTTATTTTAAATAAGCCACTCCACATGCGATCACTGCCCATCAAGCAAAATTTTCACAGAGTTTCTGCTTAAAGATCCCCCACCATTCTCCGTTAGCATTTCATATTCCAAGCCGGCATCTTCAACAAGGCAACACTGCAGTGCCGCCGTGCTGGCAGCTGGCCACCTGCTCCTGCCTCCTGCTCTATGCTCCACACTGTGGGAGAAGCGCCAGCACCTGCTACTGTGAGTCAAGGTCTCACAGCCACAAAGTCAGACGACCCAAACTTCTGCTCTGCCTGTCTCATAATGATCATACGCAGTCAAAAGACAGCATATCTCACAGATGCTGATGAAGAGAACCCACCAGTCTCAGTTAAAAAACTTAATACAGTCATGTGCAGCATCACAGTGTAATAGCCGACGACAGACTGCATATACGGTGGTTCCACGTGATTATGATACCATATTTTTACTGTACCTTTTCTCTATTTAGAGATGTTTAGATACACAAATACTTCCCATTGTGTTACAACTGCCTACAGTATTCACTACAGTCACATGCCATACAGGTTTGCAGCCTAGGAGCATAGGCTATGCCATATAGCCTGGGTGTGTAGTAGGCTGTACCATCTAGGTTCATGTAAGTACACTCTATGATGTTCACACAATGAGGAAATCATCTTACACTTTTCTCAGAACTTTCCCCATTGTCAAGTGATACATGACTATACTGCATATTAACTGATTCAGATAAACCCAGACAAATCCTAAATATAACAAACAAATGAACAGAAAACACTGGTAGCCATAGCGTTAATAACTTCAATGCTATCACCTCACAACACTGTTATGAAGCAATGTTACTGGGCCTCAAAGTTCTGGTAATTTTCCTCTCCCACAATTATTATGCATCACGTTTGTGAGCCTTATACCACACCATCATTAATTACTCAATGGCTACGGATTAAATGAAAACAAAATGAAGAACAAGATAAATTTTTAACATTTTTAAAAGCAAACTGAAGATGTCTTCAAAATCAATAGTCAATTTTGAGAAAATTCAAAACGCAATACTAGCATGGTATGTATTGCTTTAAAGCCATTGCAAATCTAAATTCCCTAATATAAACTTTTTCTAAGTGTTTCAAAGGCATTAAATGCACAAATAAATTTTAATGCAGTCAATTATCTTGGAAATGAGATATTTTATTACACACACACACACACACACACACACACACACACACACACATATATATATACACATATAGATGAGAGAAAGAGAGACATGGAGTTTTGCTCTTGTTGCCCAGGCTGGAGTGCAGTGGCGCAATCTTGGCTCACCGCAACCTCTGACTCCCGGGTTCAAGCAATCCTCCTGCCTCAGCCTCCCAAGTAGCTAGGATTACAGGCATGTGCCACCACGCCCGACTAATTTTGTATTTTTAGTAAAGATGGAGTTTCTCCGTGTTGGTCAGGCTGGTCTCAAACTCCTGACCTGAGGTGATCAGCCCGCCTCAGCCTCCCAAAGTGCTGGGATTACAGGCGTGAGCCACTGCACCCGGCCTTATGGTACATTTATAAACTCCAAGTGTTACTTACATAACAAGCAAGCCCCAATAATATCATCAAATGACCAATTAATTACTTTCACAAGAGTGCAAATATTGTGACATAAAAATGTGGATTTAAAACTAATTCTTCATAAAAGTTGTTCTTTTCCATTTTTACCACTTTTATTCAACATAGTACTGGAAATCCTGGCCAGGGCAATTAGGCGAGAGAAAGAAATAAAAAGCATCCAAATTGGAAAGGAAGAAGTCAAATTACCCTTTTGTTCAAAGTAGCCTTTGTTCACACATGACATGGTTTTATATTTAGAAAAATCTAGACTCCACCAAAAACTGTTGGAACTGATAAATGAATCCAGCAAAATTGCAGGATACAAAATAAACATACAAAATCAGTAGCATCTATATATGCCAACAGCGAACAATATGAAAATGAAATCAAGTAGGCAATCCCATTTACAATAGCTACAATGAATGTAAAATATCTAGGAAGCAATTTAACCAAAGAAGTAAAAGATCCATGCGATAAAAACTGTAACACACTGATAAAATAAACCAAAGAGGACACATTAGAAAATGGAAAGATATTCCATGCTCACGGCTTGGAAGAATTAATATTGTTAAAATGGCAATACTACGCAAAGCAATTTACAGATTCAATGCAATCCCTATCAAAATACCAATGACATTCCTCACAAAAATAGGAAAAAAAAGGTGTTCTAAACTTTATGTAAAACCACAAAAGACCCTGAATAGCCAAAGGTATAGATCAATAAGAACAAAGTTGGAGGCATCAAACTATACCTGACTTCAAAATTGACTGCAAAGCTCTAACAACCAAATGAGCATGGTACTGGCTTAAGAAAGAAAGAAAAACAAAAAAACACATACACCAGTAGAACAGAACAGAGAATCCAGATAAAAATTCACACATTTATAACCAACTCATCTTTGACAAAGGCACCAAGAATATACAATGGGGAAAGGACAGTCTCTTCAATAAATGGTGCTGGGAAAACTGTTAACTATAGGCAGAAGAATAAAATTAGACTCCATCTCTCACTATACACAATAAATCAAGTCAAAATGGATTAAAGACTTAAATCTAAGACCTGAAAATATGAAACGGCCAGAAGAAAACATTTGGGAAATGCTTCAGGACATTGGTCTGGGCAATGATTTTCTGTCTAAGACCTCAAAAGCACAGGCATAAAAGCAGAAATCGATACATGGAATTACATCAAGCTAAAAAGCTCCTGCAGGCTAGGCATGGTGGCTCACACCTGTAATCCCAGCACTTTGGGGGGCCAAGGCAGGAGGATCGCTTGAGGCCAGGTGTGTGAGGCCAGCCTGGGCAACAGAACGGGACCTCTCTCTACAAAAAATTTAAAAAGTGGCTAGCTATGATGGTGAGTGCCTGTATTCCCAGCTACTCAGGAGACTGAAATGGGAGGATGGCTTGAGCCCAGGAGTTTGAGGCTGCAGTGAGCTGTGATTGCACCAATGCACTCCAGTCAGGGTGACAGAAGAAGACCCTGTTTCAAAAAAATAAAAATAAAAAGCTCTGCACAGAAAAGGGAACAATCAACAAACTAAAGAGACAACCCACAAAATGGGAGAAAATATCTGCAAACTACCTATCTACAAGGGATTAGTAACCATGATATATAAAGAGCTCAAACTACTCAACAGCAAAAAACAAATAATTCAATTAAAAATGGGCAAAAGATCTGAACTGATATTTCTCAAAGGAAGACATACAAATGGCCAACAGGTACATGAAAAAATGCTCAGCATCACTAATCATCAGAGAAATGCAAATCAAAACTACAATGAGATATCATCTCACCCCAGTGAAAATGGCTTTTATAAAAATGACAGGCAATGACAGATGCTAGAGAGGATGTAGAGAAAGGGAAACCCTTGTACACTCTTTGAAGGAATGCGAATTAGTACAATCACTATGGAGAACGGTTTGGAGTTTCCTCAAAAAACTAAAAATAGAACTACCATGTGATCCAGCAATCCCACTAGTGGGTATAGATCCAAAAGAAAGAAAACCAATATATCAAAGAGGTATTTGCACTCCCATGTTTATTACTGCACTATTCACAAAAGCCAAAATATATCAACCTAAGTACCCATCAAGAGATGAATGGGTCAAGAAAATGTGGTATATATACATAATGGATTATTATTCAGCCATAAAAAGAATGAAATCCTGTCATTTGCAGCAATGTGGGTGAAACTGGAGGTCATCAAGTGAAATAAGCCAAGCACAGAAAGACAAATATCACATGTTCTCACTTACATGTGGGAGATAAAAAAAAGAAAAAAAGTAAGTCTAATGAAAGTAGAGAGTAGATTGGTGGTTGCCAGAGGCTGGGAAGGGTAGGAAGGAATGGATGAAGACAGGTTGATTAATGGGTTCAAATATACTGTTTGATAGAAGAAATAAAACCTAGTGTTAGATCAGTAGAGTGACTCTAGTTTACAATAATGTATTATAAGTTCCAAACAAGCTATAAAAGAATAGTTCTAATGTTTCTAACATGAAGAAAACACAAATATTTAAGGTAATGGGCATCCCAATTACACTGATTTGATCTTTACAAATTATATGAACGTGCTGAATTACCATTCATACCCCAGAACTATGTACATCGATTATGCATCATTTAAAAATCATTTTTAAAAAGTTTTTCTTTAAAGTGACCTTTTTCTGTAGGTCATTATATCCAAATTAAATACACCTTAACAAACAGCAATGAATGATAATGTACAAAATCCTAAGTTTTGAAATTAAATAAAATGCTTTACAAAGAGTAACGGATAATACTTTTATGTAAATGATAACATCTGTATTATTACGCTACCCAAAAAGAAACCTACACAATGAGTTTTGGCTAAGGTAAAACAAAGTTTTTGGTAGAAAAAAAATCCTTCAGGAAATATGCTTGTAAAATCCCGGCTTATAAATACTAGCTACTGGGTACATCTGTTTACAACATTTTTGAAGGTTATATTGGAACATTGGAGAAAGTGCAAGTAATCTGCCCAGATCTAATTGTAGTTAAAGTTATAATGTTATATTCAGCCTCTCAGTCAACTCATAATATTTTCTCTTTATGGACTGAAGTAAAATTGTTCAAGCTGGAAGATTCCTAATAAGTTTAATTCAGAGAATAATTGAATTTGAGTTCCAAAGAGACCAGAGAGGTCATCTATCTAGCCCAACCTTCCCTCTAATTTAGGAATCTCCTACAGCATCCTGACAGATGGGGCCACTCTCATTTACCTAAATACATTGAGTGACGGAAAGTTCACAGATCTGTTAGGGGGCACATTCCATCAGTAAATAACCAGTTGATAGATGAGAACTCCTTCCAGCAACTTTAAATCAGTCATTCTAAAAATTCCACTAATCAGTCTTTCCATCATTATCAACACACATCCTACTCCTCTCTTCCACCCAACCACCCTACAAAAAACTGAAGTTAATTACCACGGATCTTCCCTGCTCTCTCTCCAGCCAAGTTCTTCACAATGAAGCCAGAATCACTCTTGTAAAGCAAAACAAAGCCAGATTCTGTTCGTACTAAACATCAAAATGCACAAAGAACAGAGTCCTAAAACTTCAATCTGTGCCTTAATAGGCATTGAGCCCACTCCCTCGGTTATATCACTCAGAGTCAACGAGGTTACAGGCTCCATCTGTTTGGGGCCATGAAGTCTAGGGAGGATTGGGGATCCACTGGAAAAAGCAGAATGGAACTTAGTTCCATAGATCACAGACGTGTGCAAATTACACACTGTCCCCATTTCACCAAGCCAGGAGGCCACAGTGGATGTTAGGGAAGGCAAAAAAGATATGCTGCCAGGCAACTCCTTCTCCATGACCATGGAGAACTGAAAAAGAGGGAGGAAATGAGTCACATCTGAAGACAGAGGGAAAATTTAACTGTCCAGATTAGGGGTCACACTCAGATACCTTCAGAGCTATTTAAATATATGAGCGAAGCCAGGCACGGTGGCTCATGCCTGTAATCCCAGCACTTTGGGAGGCTGACGCGGGCGGATCACTTGAGCTCAGGAATTCAAGACCAGCCTGGGCAACATAGTGAAACCTCATCTCTACAAAAAAAAACAAAAAAACAAAAAAACAAAAAAAAAAAAACCATAGATATAGCCAGGTATGGTGGGACATGCCTATAATCCCAGCTGCTCAGGAGGCTGAGGTGGGCAGATTGCTTGGGTCCAGGAGTTTGAAGCTGCAGTGAGCTGAGATAGCGCCACTGCACCCCAGCCTGGGTAACAGTGAGACCCTGTCTCAAAAAAAAAAAAAAAAAAAAAAAGTCTGAGTGAAGCAGGCCTGACTGAGTCATGCAGTCTAAAGACACAGAAACCACTTGTTTGCAAGTTAGACTTCTACAAGTATACTTCGGCATACATCCAAAATATACCCTCTTCTATTTTTTTCTTGAAGTTTGAAACTATGAAAATATCTTTAGTTTTTCCATTACTACTATGGACATTGAAAAAATAACTGTTTCAGTTTTCTCCTAATTCTACTAAAAGAAAACAACTTAAGTAAATGAAAAATGACAACTGACATTTGATGATGGGAAGACTGTGTGGAGTGGTGGGGACTGTGGCAAACCAGCTGACGCATGACCCAACCAAAAGGCCACCATCTACACAGCTTCAGCTATCCACTGCCAGCTGAGAAGGTAGAACCCAATGTTGCCAGATAATCCCACATTTTGAAGAAACACTAAAAATTTGGCTTTTTTGTAAAATTCTTAGTTTTTAAACGCAGGCAATCAATTTAAATTTAGTTAACACAGTGATCCCCTGATCACATTTTCTAGGCCAAACAAAGGTTATCCACAGCCCAGAACCAGCCCAAAACTCACCAGTTTGCAGCCTCTGCTGCAAATGACAAAATACAAACACAAAAATTGTCAATCCTAAAAAACATTTTAAATTAAAACAATAAGCAGTCCCAACTCCCTGACTTCAGAAGGCTAAATCCTAGGTTTCTGGGGGCATACAACCAACTTGGCCTAGGAAAGCAGATAATCAGGCATGAATTTAGAAAGGGGGCCACTGACATACAAGCATTGAAAAGGGCCGCAGAGGCCATGTAGTCTGCCTTCCTGGTGCTTGGAGGAATCCTCTCTACAGAGCTCTTGATCTGCAGCCAACCAGTCGTCAGACACCACATCCGGCCCTGAGACGCTCACTATTGCAAAGAGGCACCATCTCATCTTTCCACAGCTCTATAGGAAAGTCTTCCTCACGTGAAACCCAAAGTGGCCTTTCACTACTGATACCTGCCGGTCCTAGTGCTTCCTGCAGGGGCAGATCAGACACAGCATCCCTGCTTCCCCTTACACATGACATCTGCTCAGACACTTCAAGGTCGGAATTGGGTTCCCTGCTAAGCTTACCACTTGCTAAGCTAAGCCCACTCCCTTCATCATCATGTACAGGACGCCCTTTCCACACCTTCCCCAATGGCAATCACCTTCCTCTTGCTATCAACGTGCATCTTCCATCTACGGTCTGGAGAAAGGGACAGAAGGACACTCAGGATTATTAAGCACCTACACTGTGAGGTAGGCACCATGCCAGGAGTGTGACATACATTTTCATATTTAATTCTCACAGCAATCCTCTTTGAACTGTATTATTATCATTATTTTACAGATGAGGAAACTGAGGCCAAGCAAAGTTTAGCAATTTACTGAAGGCCACAAAACAAGCACAACTGGAAAACTCAAACCAGGTCTGTCTGATACCAAAAAGACAACTATATTGTTATACACACAGAAAATGGCATGTTTGCAAACAGTTTTATTGTCACTGTTACTTATTAGAAGTATAACTTATTATAAGCAAGTCTATTCTTTCTGGTGATCTCATGAATGGACTGCTGTTTTCAATGCAAAACAAATTCTCCATGCAAACAAAACAAATTTCAAACTTGTGTTACCATTTAATGACCACTACCCAAATATATAAATATAAAATTTATTTTTTTGAGACAGAGTTTCATTCTTGTTGCCCAGGCTGGAGTGCAATGGTGCGATCTTGGCTCACCACAACCTCTGCCTCCCAGGTTCAAGTGATTCTCCTGCCTCAGCCTCCCAAGTAGCTGGGATTACAGACATGCACTACCAAGCCTGGCTAATTTTGTATTTTTAGTAGAGACGGGGTTTCTCCATGTTGGTCAGACTGGTCTTGAACTCCCGACCTCAGGTGATCCGCCTGCCTCAGCCTCCCAAAGTGCTGGGATTACAGGCATGAGCAAATATATTATTTTTAAACCTAATTTGTATATTGAATATATAAAAATCTGAGTATATACTAAATAAAACAGCAGAAATTTATATAACCCCTATACTCACATACTTAATCATAATCATTCTTCAAGGAAAATTTTATTATCCCCATTTTACATAAGAAGAAAGTGAAGCATCAAGAGGTTAATAACTTACCCAGCTTGCATGGTGGCTCATGCCTGTAATCCCAGCACTTTGGGAGGCTGAGACGGGCGGATCACTTGAGCCCAGGAGATTGAGACCAGCCTGAGCAACATAGCAAGACCTCGCCTCTACAAATTATTAAAAAATTAGCCAGGCCCAGTGGTGCGGGCCTATGGTCCCAGCTACTCAGGAGGCTGAGGTGGGAGGACTGCTTGATCCTGGGTGGGATTACGCCTGTAATCCCAGCACTTTGGGAGGCTGAGGCAGGCGGATCACTTGAGGCCAGGAGATTGAGACCAGCCTGAGCAACATAGCAAGACCTCGTCTCTACAAATTATAAAAAAAACTAGCCGGGCCCAGTGGTGTGGGCCTGTGGTCCCAGCTACTCAGGAGGCTGAGGTGGGAGGACTGCTTGATCCCGGGTGGTCGAGGTTGCAGTGAGCCAAGATCACGTCACTGCATTCCAGCCTGGGCAACAGAGCGCGTCGCTGTCTCAAAAAAATAGCAATAATAACCTACTCCAGGTCACTAGCAAGAAAATGTCAGAGACAGGATTCAAAGAACTCAGGCAGTCTGACTCTAAATAACTGTAGACCTTAGGCTTTCCAAATAGTGTATTTCAGCAGTAGTTTTGAACATCGTTAAAGCACAAACACCTCTCCAAGGCTAATTAGATACTACTTTTGGATATTCCAATGTAGATGATAAAAAAAAGAAAAAGGTCAACACAAACAAAGCTTACCAAAATTAGGATCAAAATTTCTAGCTTTAATATGTATTATATTTATAAATAAACCCAGAGATATTAGATAACTTCCTGTTTGCATCTAATCTAATGTTAAATTTGATCATAATGTGAGGGAGGAATTCACATTTCAAAAAAATGTTTAAACAGACAAACCTTTTAAATATCCTCCAGTGTGAATAAGTATCTCACCATGTGACATTGAGCAATTTACACAATGAGCCTCATTTAACCGTTCAACTCATACATTCAGACAAAACATATCTGCTGTGCAACAGATGCTGTTGTGGGCTCTGGAGACAGGTGAGGAACCAGGCAGAGAAGGTTCCTGCCCTTGTGGAGCTTCTGCTCTAAGGAAGGCGGAGACAGACAACAAGCCGATACATAAATATGCAAGGAGAAAACGATCAGTGAGGGACAAGGACTTTGCAGGCAACTAAGAGAGCGTGGCGTGGTAGCAGTGGCTGGGCGTCCTTTAGATTGGGTGGTCAGCGTCCTTCAGAGGGAGTACTTTGAGCTGAAACCCAAAAAGCATGAAGCAATCAGCCAAGAAAAGCTGGGGCAATCTAAATCAAACAGCAGAAGGTTATGCCTGGGAAGGTTATGTTCATCTGAGCGTGCTTCAGCTAAGCACGCACGAACTCCAGACACGGCAAACAGTCCAGGGAACTACCTGCCACCATTTCAAACGCCGCTGGGGAACTGTTCAGCTTTCCTGCTTTAGTACTTAACCTGCGACACCAACACATCCAATCAGTAAAACACCTCAGTCGGAATGAAACAGCCTTAAGGTCACAGTTGGAATCTGACCTTTCCTCAGTGGCTTCCTAAAATCCCCGTCCCCTGAGCTTACCTGATCTTACAACTCCAATTAGAAATTATATGCTCTCTGCGTTCTCAAGCAGGAGGTCCTATTTGGTCTGGAGTTTAAGTGTGTGCTCTATCAGTATGTGGCACATAAAAGGACGGAAACTAAAGCTGCCCAGGCTGCATCCTCTCCACCTAAGGTCCCAGAGAGGCCTGGCATACCCGTTTTCCACACTGAGTGGACCATCCAGCATATCTAATTAAAGTGCTTTTGTAATAATCTACTGAGCTCTGGAGCCCTGTTGCTTGCAGGAACCTCAATTATCAGCATTCAGCAAACCTGCTTTGGCTTTCCCCACTCAACTTCTCATACAAAGTGCAATTAACAGAGCTACGTGAGAATGTGGTGATTAAGCAAAGAAATACAGACTGACATATACTTTTAAAGCCTTTGAGATATACAAGTGCCTCAAACTTACCCACAGAGGAATGTGGAGGACACTTAGTGTAATCATTCATTCATCCAGAATGAGCTGGCTGAAGGTATCCTTGTCATTCATACACAGAGCCCTGGCAAAATAAAACAAAAACACAGAGGCAGTGAGAAATAATTTTTCAAAATCAGATTGTTATAATTGAAGCTCAGTTTCTCAGCATTCTGTTGTATCTTGGGCTTGATACAAGAAGGAAGAATCTGAAAGAGAAATCAAGAGTTAAGTGATTAACTATAAAGGAAAAAAGGTCTTCCCACATCCTAACTGGAGAAGCAGATTTACTGTAGATTTACTGCTTCATTTCATAATGTCATGACTAAGCCATTTGAAGATAGAATGGATGGAGGGAGGGGAGAGAGAAATAAATATAGATAAGTTAGACAGGAGATGGATAGATGGATGGATGGACAGACAGACTGACGGACGGACAGATGGATGGATGGATGATTGACAGACAGAGCAAGCCTACTGTGACCAAGCCACTACTCCAGATGCTAGAAATAAAGCGGTGAATGAGAGAGAAAATCTCGCTCTCACTGAGCTCCATTCAAGTGGAAATACACAGTTCAATAAACAAATAACAAAAATATCCTAGAGTGATACAGGCAATGCAGAGTCAATAGGGTAATGAGACAGTGAGTGACAAGTGGCTAAATTAAATTGGAAGATTAGGAATTGGCTCTCTGAAATGACAACTAGCCTGAAATCTGAATGGTATTTGAACTTAGAGAAATGATCCCCCAGGCAGAGGGATCAGCGAAGAAACACCATGTCTTGAGCCATTGTTACGGATTCTGGAGCAGAACTCAAGTGGGTAGTGCCAAAGGATCAGAATTTCATAACTTATTAAACAGATGAGGCCAGGCACGGTGGCTCATGTCTATAATCCCAGCACTTTGGGAGGCCAAGGTGGGCGGATCACTTGAGGTCAGGAGTTTGAGACCACTCTGGCCAGTACGGTGAAACCCCGTCTCTACTAAAAACACAAAAATTAGCTGGATATGGTGGCTCACGCCTGTAGTCCCCACTACTTGGGAGGCTGAGGCAGGAGAATTGGAGGCAGAGGTTGCAATGAGCTGAGATAGCGCCACTGCACTCCAGCCTGGGTGACAGAGAGACTCCATCCCCCCACACCCCCACCCCCCCGAAAAAAAACAGGTGGTTTCTGGATCCTCTCCTATTATGGAGAATAATACTTTCTTCCTGTATTTGATATGCTACCACCTGGTTATATATTAAAACTCATGGTCCATTAGTCAACACATCAGAAAGTACCTCTTTTTTTTCATTGTTTAAAATGTGAAACAGACTGCTTTCATAGTGAGACTTACCTTTTTAGAAGGCATGATATTAACTCTGTGATGTAAACAAGATACTGTTTTATGGCAATAACCATGTGTCCTTAACCCAGAATGCAGTCCTTGATAAAGAATGCAGACTTTAGGGCAGGGATGTCCAATCTTTTGGCTTCCCTGAGTCACACTGGAAGAGAAACTGTCCTGGGTGCCATCTAAAATACATCAACACTAATGATAGCTGATGAGCTTTTAAAAAAAATTGCAAAAAAGGTCTAATAATGTTTAAAGAAATTTTACGAATTTGTGTTGGGCTGCATTCAAAGCCATCCTGGGCCGCAGGTGGCCCACAGGCCATGGGTTGGACAAGCTTGCCTTAGAGCAAGGGGACTGAGATTGGAGTTCAAACCCCAGCCACTCCATGACCACCTCAGTGAGCTCAGCCCAGTTATTTAGATTGTCTGAGCCTCTGGTTTCTTCAACTATAAAATGGAAATATGATCTACACTACAGGGTTATTCTAACTGTTTAATGAAATAATGCACATAAAATACTTAATAAATTACTTGAAACATGTGACATACTCAAAGTAGCAAAAAACCACAACTAGACTTTCAGTGTAAATGGTCACTATTGAGAAAGGTTTGACTATCACAATGACTCATGCTATAGAAATACACCTATACCGGGGCCGGGTGCAGTGGCTCACGCCTGTAATCCCAGCACTTTGGGAGGCCGAGGTGGGCAGATCACCTGAGGTCGTGAGTTCGAGACCAGCCTGGCCAACATGGAGTGGCTGGGGTTTGAACTCCATGGAGAAACCCCGTCTCTACTAAAAATACAAAACATTAGCCGGGCGTGGTGGCGCATGCCTGTAATCCCAGCTACTCCGGAGGCTGAGGCAGAAGAATCACTTGTACCTGGGAGGCAGAGGTTGCAGTGAACGAGATCATGCCATTGCACTCCAGCCTGGGCAACAAGAGCAAAACTACGTCTCAAAAAAAAAAAAAAAAAAAAGAAAGAAAGAAAAAGAAATACACCTATACAACCTGGCATACTAAAAAGAACAGTTTTCATTTATAGGATATCAGGATTGGGATGGACCCATTTCCCTCATTCTACAGGTGAGAATTTAAAACTCAAAGAGGTAGTGTGATTTGACCAAGGCGACATAATTAGTTCAGAGATTTGTTATATCTGGTCAAGAATGCCTACCTTATAGAATACATTCCATATTTACTTAAAACTTTTAAATTTGCTTTGTCATTAACCCAGTATGGACAAATTTTTTATTTATTTTATTTTATTTATTTCATTTTTTGAGATGGAGTCTCACTCTGTCACCCAGGCTGGAGTGTAATGGCGCGATCTCAGCTCACTGCAACCTCCGCCTCCCGAGTTCAAGCAATTCTCCTGCCTCAGCCTCCCAAGCAGCTGGAATTACAGGCACCCACCACCACGCCTGGCTAATTTTTGTATTTGTAGTAGAGACAGGGTTTCACCATGTTGGCCAGGCTGGTCTCGAACTCCTGAGCTCAAGTGATCCACCTGCGTCAGCCTCCCAAAGTGCTGGAATTACAGGCGTGAGCCACTGCACCCAGCCGAAAAAAATATTTTCAAATGATAAGAAAAGAATACTGAATCAAGCTTCACTAGGCTCTGTCTAAATACATCATACTGACAATCTTTAAAAACCAAGACTTGTAATATTTTACTGATGGCCTCATAAATGATTTACTAACTGAAAACTATAAAATATAAGATCTGCCATATTTTAATGTTTCCAATGATAATAATGTTGGATCTCAAGCATCTGTTACATAACAGAACTTTCCACATGTTCATTCCAAATACCATGTGATTTCATGTTTTTTGGTTTCTATGCCTTTGCATATACTGTTCTCTACAGGGAACACCTCCCTGGAGAACTCCTAATTGCCCCTCAAGACCCAGCTTAAGTGTCTCTTCCTCTGATCACCTACCATCATACCCCGAACCTCACAGGGTTATTGCTCCCTCCTTCACCTCACCACTCTTTCTGATATAGGCAATTGCCTCGCAATTATTTCTTTTTCACTCATTTGTCTCCTTTACTAGAACTCACTTACCTTTCCCCTTTACTAGAACTGCTTTGAAAGTGAAGTACTTTGTTTCCCTGGTGCCTGACACAATTCCTTACTCATGGGTGCTTAATAAATGTGTTCATGAAATAACTGATTCGTCAAATTGCTAATACAACGTGATTAATATGTGGCTTGGCTTGCTTTTCCATCATATCGCCATAACTTGAGTTAAAGAGGAAGCTGCAGCTTAACTACTGGTCATTTTGGTGGTTTTTGTTGGGGTTTTTTTTTTTTTTTTCCAAGATGGAGCCTCACTCTGTTGCCCAGGCTGGAGTACAGTGGCGCGATCTCAGCTCACTGCAACCTCTGCCTCCTAGGTTCAAGCAATTCTCCCGCCTCAGCCTCCTGAGTAGCCGGGATTACAGGTGCACGCCACCACACTTGTCTAATTTTTGTATTTTTAGTAGAGATGGGGTTTTGCCATGTTGGTCAGGCTGGTCTCGAACTCCTGACCTCAGGTGATCCACCCGCCTCAGCCTTCCAAAGTGCTGGGATTACAGGTGTAAGTCGCCGTGCCCGGCCAACTACAGGTCATTTTGGATGGAAATGATTTTAAGCAGGATTATAGAATATTTAAGCTTAGAGCACATTGACTTCATCCCTGTTCACTTTGCAGATGAAGAAAGTGAAGTCCAGTAAAGATCAAGTAGACCTCTCATGTAGACAGCGGGAAAGAGCTAAGACTAGAACTCAGATCTCCAAACAGCTACAACAGCTCTGTTTCCAGCAATGACAAGTTACTGGTTCCAAGAATGCTCTTCCTTGGATCTCAGCGCCTTCCTCAGGACCCTCTCTGCGTTCCTCACATGCTCCAGTGCCACGTGAACAATGAAGCTTCCCTGAGCTGGACTGCAATCCAGCAAGTGGCTATTCTTTCAACAGTGGAGACTGGGCTTCGCTGCCAGGGAAAGTCCCATTTTAAGGGAGAATTTGCAGTGGGCCGGGACTGCAATATCTTGTGACCACAGAAAGATCAAACAGGGCACCTTGAGTATGTGAGTCTATGAGATCCAAGGTGGTGCTAGGTAAACTATATCTATAATAAAACTCAAGCAATGCTATGCTTTTGCTTACACAAAGAGTGCTTGTATCTCTCACAGCACATAGGTGCCACGTGTGGACAGAGTCATCAATCAAGACTGATGGCTCATGCTTTTATCAGCATGAAAACCAGCCAGTCCCGCAGCCTTGGAGCTGCCTGTTTGCACCATGACATCAGTGTAATTTTAATTTAACATGAACACACCTTACATTCTTTTCCCTTGAGCTTTGTGATGAAAAGTGGTTTTATTTTTACAGTGCTAGGGATTCTGCCCCATGTCCTACTCGAAAGCTGAATATAATCCAGACCTTCAACTACATCACAAAGTTGTTTTTTTTTTTAATGGCCACATCTAAGAAATACTACATGATTAGTCAATCTAGAAGCCTACTGCCAAGGACTGGGTGAAGTTCAGAGTGCCCAGAGTTTATAAAACTTTCATTGTCAGGTGAACCAGTGTGCAAGCCCACAGTACGCAGCACAACTGTCAATGCAGGTCAATGAGAAAAGGTGGGGAAGGAAAGAGAAAGTTACTACTTACCCTGTGCCCTTCAAACATGCCTCCCACCTCTACGTAAGTAGAATGCATTTGTTACTAAAAATTTTCTCTCAAATTCATGCCTTCTTCAAATTGTATCTTCTTTGTAGCCACCATCTCCCTGAATTTAAAACATGTTTTAAAGTTGCTGGGTTTACTTTAGCCTCGTTATCAGCTAGGCAGCTTATCAATTCAGAGATTCGACTCAATGTTTGTAAGAAAACAATACAGAAAGTGGGATGTTTTCCAGGACTGGGAGTGAGAAATGTAACTCCCATCTCCCTTAACCCCTCCTGTGACCCAGGTTTGTAGGATCTAACTGGGCCCTCCAGAGTCTCCATTTACAGGTGGATTACTTATTATCTCATCACTCAGGGCCCGTAGAGATTTCAGACATAATGAACAAACCATTCTGTGACTCTTATTCCAAGGCATTAGGTAAGACTACATCATAATGTGGTATGCCTTAAATAACAATTTTCACCAGCCTCCCACGTCCACACTAATGCACTGTTCCTGCACAAAGAACTAATGGAATCAGATGCTGCACTCAACAAAGGAAAACTGTAGAGTTACCCAGTAGACTATAGAATGGGAGAGAAGCTGCCATTCATGACAAAGGGATGACTAATTACAATGAAAACAGCAAGTTTCAGTCTATCCTCCCCAAAGGACAGACTCCTATACACATGGAGCACAGTATTTACTGAGTACTGTAAGCCAAGTTACAAAAAGACCGTTGTTATTTATAAAACAGCCCATGTGAAACACCAAAAAAAATCAATGGCCAGCTAGAAGGAGAACAAGGTATACCCATTTTGTTCACTGCTCTCCCTAGGCTGGTGATCACATCAGTCAATCTGGCTCCTGTTTAGAGTAAGTCTTTCCTGGGAGTCCCACAAGGGTTCACGTATCCAGTGACAAAACTCAAGGATACAAAAGTTAGCACTATTTTTTAGTTAATGACATTCAATTCAAGAAGTATTTGTTGAATATCTATTCTGTTCAAGTCACTATGCTAAGTGCTGGAAATACGATGGTGACACAGCTTGCTTCTGATCTTGCCTGTACACAAGCAAGCCATTAGTCCCAACACGTGTGGTGGGGAACATGGTTGGGGGTGGGGGTAAGAGGCTGTGAAGTGGCTCCTACCCCACCAGAGTGGCCCCTATCCCTGTCTTCAAGTAAGACTCAAATACAAGAATAGTAACACTCACACCACAGAAATTACCTACATGCAGTGCCCCAGGTAGATCAGAATGGATCTTTCTCCACTAGGATCCTATTCGTGTTTTAAAACAGGTCAGTAAGTTCTCTGACACTCCTCTTAGGAAGGGGAGGTGGGCAGCCCTATGCCCCCTTCACCTCGATTCTGCTTCAACCTATATAGTACAGCCAACGTGACACTAGGATTTCCAGGGCTGGGCCAAAAAATGCCAGGAGGTTTATGCCTGGTTCTCTTGGTGCATTTGCCCTGAAGCCCTAAGGCTACATTTATCTGGTTTCGTATGTCATCTGTTGCCACATTGTCCAGCATATAAGACTTTACTTCTGGAAATACTATGCCATCCCTTGCCAAGACAAAAGAAATTGACTTAGCATTGGTATCTAAAAGCTGCCACTGAATTCTGGCTTCCAGACAGAGGGATGATCCTCATCCAGTTGACAGACAAAACTCACCAGGCAAAGTGACTTTCTTCATTAGGGAACAGCAATATAATAATTCCTCATCACTTCCAAATGAACCACACAATCCATGCCCCAAGAATTACACATATTTAGTATCTGGGGAGGCTTGTGCAATATTTACAACATGCACCATGTTTATGGCAGCAGGCTAGTCCTGTGGACAACAGGGGCAGACAATCACATTGCACATTAGAAATAAAGCTGCACGGGGCCAGGAAACCAGCTGTGTGGCCACAGCAGTAAATGCCTGCTTCCCTCTTCCTCCTTCCTATGAAATAAGTGTCTTGCCCATCTCTCTCTCTCTCTCTCTTTTTTTTTTTTTTTTTTTTGAGATAAAGTCTCACTCTGTTGCCCAGACTGGAGTGCACTGGCACGATCTTGGCTCACTGTAACCTCTGCCTCCAGGGTTCAAGTGATTCTCCTGCCTCGGCCTCCTGAGTAGCTGGCATTACAGGTGCACGCCACCATCCCCGGCTAATTTTTGTACTTTTAGTAGAGACAGGGGTTTCGCCATGTTCACCGAGCTGGTCTTGAACTCCTGACCTCAGGTGATCCACCTGTCTCGGTCTCCCAAAGCGCTGGGATTACAGGCATGAGCCACTGTGCCCGGCCCCACCTCTACTTCTTTTCCAGCCCTGTCAATCAATACTCAGAACCATCTCATCATCAGTCCTGGCAAAGAGAGATGAGGCGAGAGAAGAAAGAAGGAATAAGATTCATAAACAAATAGAAGAGAATGATTTTGGGGAGGGAGTGTTAAAAAGTAGCAGGGACTCTGGATTATCCCTTCCATATCCCTCACCATCTGTCAGAACCTCCCACCTAGTTAACTTCACCAATAAAAGCTCCAAGTATAGTAAGGCTCTCTCTCTACAATAGGCAAAATACCCTACTTTAACAGCTAAAGGAACTACCAAAAGACATGATATCTATCCATTCACTAAAGGAACAGCTTGCACTTCTACGATATTTATTTATTTATTTATTTATTTATTTATTTATTTATTTATTGGGGTTTTTTTGGGTTGAGATGGAGTTTTACTCTTGTTGCCCAGGCCGGAGTGCAATGGTACAATCTTGGCTCACTGCAACCTCCGCCTTCTGGGTTCAAGTGATTCTCCTGCCTTAGCCTCCCGAGTAGCTGAGATTACAAGTGTGTGCCACCACGCCCAGCTAATTTTGTATTTTTAGTAGAGACAGGATTTCTCCATGTTGGTCCAGCTGGTCTTGAACTCCCGACCTCAGGTAATCCACCCACCTCAGCCTCCCAAAGTATTGGGATTACAGGCGTGAGCCACAGTGCCTGGCCTATTTTATTTAGTTAGCTAGTTTTTAGAGACAGGGTCTTGCTCTGCTGCCCAGGCTGGAGTGCAGTGGCATGATCATGGCTTGCTGCAGCGTCTCCCTCCCAGACTTAAGCAATCCTCCCGCTTCAGCCTCCTGAGTAGCTGAGACTATACGTATGCACCACCACACCTGGCTATTTTTTTATTTTGTGTAGGGACAAGGTCTCACTGTGTCACCCAGGCTGGTCTCGAATTTTTGGTCTCAAGTGATCCTCCCACCTCGGCCTCCCAAAGTGCTGGGATTACAGGTGTAAGCGACTGCGCCTGGCCTATTAGTACGATATTATCCTTTTCTTTACCCCATCCTTAGATTGAGCAAAGTGCTTCTTTTCAGTACTGAGGCAGGATAGGGATGAAAGAGGTGAATAAATAAAACCAAATGGGGGACCACTGAATAACTACTGAGGCAGAAGATTGGCACAACAGCTGATGAAAAAGGTGGCTTGAGCGAGAACAAAAATGCAAGCAGCAGCTACCCTACAAGAGGGATTCAAGTGCTCCTTAAGAGAAAGTCAGGGGGTAAAAAAAACGAGAGATTTACTGACCTGACAACAAGAAAGAAACATTCACACATCACTTGAAAGGGCAAGCACCAAACAAATTCCTCAACCACTTTTGTATCAAGCAGTGTGTTCAAACCTTTCACGGAGGCTGAGCCATCCCTATGGAACTGTGGCTTAAACAGCCCTCAACAAGTACCTGTGGAATAAGTGGCTTTCAGGGAGCCTCTGCCTGCCTGGGCTCTGTGTGAATGGTTCCTAGAAGTTAACCATGGCTGGACAGGGACTCCTAGCTTTATCTCAGGGCTCAGTTGACTGAGCCAAGTGCATTTTCCAAACGGTAACTTTACCTCATTCCAAGACTAGACATAATTTCTGAAAAGTGGCATGTTATGGGAAAAATACATTGTGGCTTTTTTTTTTTTTCAGAAGACTCATTTATAATAAAGACAGTGTGACCAATGATCCCTTTCCCAATGCCTTGAAAGTAGATAATTGTTGAATGACTGTAAGTACATGGGCGGGGGGAATGAGTGAATCAATGAAGGAAGAAACAAACAGATGCACGAGCAGATGGAGATGCCAGTCATTTCTGCGGTCACAGAATCCCTGGACTTAAGCAGAATCTGGAAAGATCTGTTCTCAAAGGCTCTAATGCTATAGGCTGCCACAAATGACACCAAGGGTGGTTAAAATATTTTACCCTCTTTCTTTTTCAAAGCTGTCACACTTTTCCTTCCTGTAGACAAAGCAAAAGCTAACGATTCACTAAACAAAGAAATATTTCCTGACTGGCCCCCTCACTGTGGACCTCCAGGAAACAATGATTTCAGAGGCATGAGCTTAGCTGAGAAAGTGAGTGCTACAGACCTCTCCAGAGAAGAATCGAGCTCATCCCAGGCAAGGTTCATTTCAAGATCTACTTCAACTGTCACGCTGCCCTCTGGGGATATCTCACAGGTTCATCCCAAGACTGGGGATGTTGGTCAGGATGGGAAGCATTATTTCCAAAGCTACTTTATAGCAACATACTAACTGTACTTTCTGGGTAACTTAAAAGGCGCCATTTTTGACCTGGCACTTGAAGATGCCACGTTGCAGCTGGGCACAGTGGCTCACGTCTATAATCCCAGCACTCTGGGAGGCTGAGGTGGGCGGATCATGAGGTCAGGAGTTCGAGACCAGCCAACATGGTGAAACCCCGTCTCCACTATAAATACAAAAATTAGCTGGGCATGGTGGCGCACACCTGTAATCCTAGCTACTCAGGAGGCTGAGGCAGGGGAATCGCTTGAACCTGGGAGGCGGAGGTTGCAGTGAGCAGAGATTGTGCCACTGTACTCCAGCCTGGGGGACAGAGCAAGACTCTGTCTCCCAGAAAAAAAAAAAAGGATGCCATGTTGCTTTACCTAAACTTCTGTCCAAAGCTAAATATCTCAGAACAAGAAAAGCTGTGGTTATATACCTTGCCCACAAAATGTAGTTTTGTAATAAATTCTCTCTTAAGCACTCTCCGTAAGTGTTTTCATTTCCTCCCACTGACAACCAGTCCAAGGGAGATAAAGAGGCACCAGCCCACCGAGAAGGCCCTTGTGATACCTGTGTCAGCGGTATGGACATCAGAGATAAGGTTTTGAACAATGCTAAGGAGGATAAAGCTGACAGCCACGGGGCGGATAACGTGCCTCTCTGGCAAGGGAGAAAAACACTTGACAGAAGGCTACTTTGGGTTGTGATTCATCAATGAATTTTGTTGAAAGGAACACATGAGAGTTTCCAGGGGTCAGAGAGCTGTTCCTGTTTCATTTTACCATCATCAGAACGATCCAAGCAGCAAATCCACATAAGAAACTTTTGGGGTTATGTTTTTTGTTTTTTGTTTCTGAGACAAGGTCTCACTCTATTAACCAGGCTGGAGTGCAGTGGCACAGTCTCGTCTCACTGCAACCTCTGCCTCCCAGTTTCAAGCGATTCTCCTACCTCAGCCTTCTGAGAAGCTGGGATTACAGACATGCACCATCACGCCCAGCTGATTTTTTGTATTTTTAATAGAAATGGGATTTCACCATGTTAGCTAGGCTAGTCTCGAACTCCTGACCTCAAGTGATCCACCCGCCTAGGCCTCCCAAAGTGCTGGGATTACAGGCGTGAGCCACTGTGCCTGGCCTCTATTAGAAATTTTTTGAACAAAGCAAATGCTAGGATCCATAAAGAGTCAGCTCCAAGTTTCACAAGATGAACATCTGAACCCCCAGCTGTACTGACTATAGCTGACAAGTCAGTCATTTCACATACAGTAACATTTGTCCCAATTTCTAGCAAGGTTGGTGTGCTAGGCACTATGCATTAATTACACAAGGAGGAATCAGGCACAGCACCAGTAATCAAAGGACCTAGAGCCAAAGGGGAAAAAAGACAGCAAAGACATCTGACAAATTCCAGAAAGAGGCAAGATAAACTGGCCATCTGGGTCCAGGCGAGGAGGCTCACGTCTGTAATCCCGGCACTTTGGGAGGCCAAGGCCGGAAGATTACCTGAGGTCAGGAGTTTGAGACCAGCCTGGCCAACATGGTGAAACCCAGTCTCTAGTAAAAATACAAAAATTAGCTGGGCATGGTGGCGGGTGTCTGTAATCCCTGCTACTCGGGAGGCTGACGTGGGAGAATCGCTTGAACCCAGGAGGCAGAGGTTGTAGTGAGCCGAGATCGCACCACTGCACTCCAGCCTGGGCAAGAGAGAAAGACTCTGCCTCAAAAAAACAAAAACAAAAAAACAAAGATAAACTGGTCATCCAGAATGAGGGAAAGAAACTATCCTTGGTTTACAAAAAAAAAAGAAAAACACCAAAAAACACAAGAAAATCCATTAAATGTATCTGAAACAGGATTTCAGGCAGCAATAACCACTAAGATCATCAAGTCAAACTAGAGGAAGATATATTTGGGATCCAGCTTAAAGGGAGAAGCAAACAAAACACACCTAACGGAAAACATCAACTTCTGTAATGAAACAAACTTCAGAACTTTAAAAAGGATTTGAAGAGTGTGTGGAATCTACTTCCAGAGAGATAAAGGCAGATGCTGCACCCATTAAATGAGAGCAGACTGGGAGCAGGAAAGATTGCCTGCCAGAGGCTGTTAGGATCACCGAGCATGAGAGCACCTCTCCTGGGTGGGAGTTCAGACAGAGGCGGGATGATGTCAGGGCAGAGCTGGAAAGCCTTGCTGGCTGGCCTGGCCTTGAAGAATGTGTCCGAGTTGGACGTGAGGAACCAGGGAGGCCCAGGATCCCCATAAGGAGGACAGCATGGGTGAAATGACAGAGAAACCAGGAAGCCTGAAACCACAAAAGACACAGAGAAGCACCAAGTCTGATGGTCCCATGCGTGACGTGAGTACAAGGAGAAAAGCAGATAAGGATGCCTAATGCTGGCAGCTACTAAAGGCCAAGCTGTCACTTGTGCTTTTTTCATTAAAGTGAACTCGAGGCTGGGCGCAGTGGCTCACACCTGTAATCCCAGCACTTTCGGAGGCCTAGGCGGACAGATCACTTGAGTCCAGGAGTTCATGACCAGCCTGAGCAACATGACAAAAGCCCATTTCCACAAAAAATAAAAAAAATTAGCCAAACATGGTGGCATATGCCTGTAGTCCTAGCTACTTGGGAGGCTGAGGTAGGAAGATCACTTGAGCCCAGGAGGAGCCGTGACTGCACCACTGCACTCCAGCCTGAGTGACAGAGTGAGACCCTGTCTCAAAAAAAAAAGTCAAGTTGGAAAGCAGAAGTCAGAGGTCAGCAATCAGAGAGCCCCTCCCACAGCACTAGACTGTCACCATTAATCAATATTGAGCAAGGATTAATTGCAAAGCAGTTACATGTTACATCATTACTTGTTAAATCCAAAAGTGTGTTTTCAAAGTAGAAAGAGCTCATTCATAAGAATGCCAGCCACATGAATCAATAGGCCAGTGAGGCGCTACAGGCAAACCCCAGGTCTGCCACTTGGTAGGGTTTGGGTCACTTACCTGTCTCTCTACAGCTAATTTCCCCCCTGCAAAATGAAAACAATTACGCCCACCCTCCAGGGCTTCTGTGAAAACAAAATGAGAAAATATCTTTCAATTACCTGACACACTGCCCTATGACAAGTTAAGAAAGTTAAATAATAAATGTTAGTTCTCTCCTCCCGTCCTGGTTTCTCTAATCGTTGCCATGAAATGCAGGCTTTCTTCCATCGTAAGCAGCACTAATAAAAACTTCGAAATATTTTTAACAAGCGAAAGGCTAACAAGATGACTCAGTAATACCAAGGCCAGGCCTCAATGTCCGTTACTAACAAATACTGAAACCCTTTTTAAAAAATATTTCTCTAGGAACTGAGTGAGTAAATTTTACGTCAAAGGGAAAATTGAGAAGGCAGCACAATGAGACTTGGAGATTGCTGTGCTTCAATATCTATAGTAATATTCTAAAAATATTTTCTTAATATTCTAAAATCAATAGCAATTACATTATTTAGGGCATTGAGGCTTCCTCCAACCCCAGGCTAGCATGGAAGTCTTCTGAATGGTCAAGTTATTATAGATCCTTTTCTGAGCTGAGCCTAAGGCTAAGCCTATAGGGTTCCTGTTCTTTAAAAAAAAAAAAAAAATTACTTATCACTAAAAAGAATAGTGAACATGCTTTAGGAGTTTATAGAACAGCTTCCTGTTTTTCAAGCCCAATGTACAATAAACTATGGGAATTACTGATAAATTAGCATGAGTTATGACAAATGTATTCATAAACGTTATGTATGTGAAATAAAAGGAATTTGTAGAAAAGGATATGAATTTCGACCGGGTGCTATGGCTCATGCCTGTAATCCCAGCACTTTGGGAGGCCGAGGAGGGTGGATCATCCGAGGTCAGGAGTTCGAGACCAGCCTGGACAACATGGCAGAACTCCGTCTCTACTAAAAATACAAAAATTAGCCAGGCATGGCGGTACACGCATGTAATCCCAGCTACTCGGGAGGCTAAGGCAGGAAAATCGCTTGAACCTGGGAGGTGGAGGTTGCAGTGAGCCACAATCACGTGCCACTGCACTGCACTGTCAGCCTAGGCATCAGAGCAAGACTCTGTCTAAAAAAAAAGAAAAGAAAAGGATGTGAATTTCAAACACTGAGTAGCAGGGATGTGACTAAGGGTTTGACCTACGTTATATTTTCAGGATTTTGCTGTTCTCCTAGTTGTCCACCCAGCAACCAATCCCCACCTCTCTCAGTTAACAAATTAGAAAGTCCATACCAATTAGCATCAAATTACAATTACTAGGCCTAAATTCTTTGTACTTCCCCCTAAGCCATAATTGCAGAATTTCCTTCTACTGAAAGCATTTCAGACCTTTAATTTTAATTACTTCGGCATGGAATTAGCAACATATTTCCCATAGGCATTTTATTACCTATTATTTCGTAAGGATGAATAACTAAAACCTCAATGAGAAAATGACTGTAGATGGTGCAGGGTGGGAAGAGGATGACACCCACATTTATTGATTTTTGGAACGCCACAGAGTAATATAATTTGAGCCGAGATGTCAGGTCCCTGAACAAATGCTCCACCCACTCCCACCTCTCAAGCCACCCCAGGAAGCTCCATCCCCCATGCCTCACGCCCCAACCCAATTATTATGAAGGATCTGAAACTTTTTGAGCACCAACATGACACCGCAAGTGGAAAATTCTGCACCTGACCTCATGAGACAGGTCACAGTCAAAATGCAGACGCTTCTAGTCAAAACACAGCATTGCAGGTGGAGACTGAAAACCTGCCCTGTCTGTTGTTGGCGTGGTTTAACAGCTGATGTGGGTATTCGGGGGATGCTATGCTGTTGCTTCGCTACACGTTATTTTTTCAGTGTATTGATAGTATGTCATATGAATAAGTGTAAGAAAATGATCACTTTTTGGTAATCATACGAATTAAGGAATAATGGTGATAGTATACAACCACAGATTGTTCACACGGATGGCAGAAATAGTGACACCTTTGCTTTCTGGCAGCAGTTCAATGTACCTTAACTTTGTTTCATGCACAAAATTCTTTCGAATATAAAATTACCGTCGGGCTATGCATATAAGGTATCTATGAAACATAAACAAATTTCATGTCTAGATTTGGGAAACATCCCCAGGCTATCTCATTATGTATATGCAAATATTCAAAAATCTGAATAATTCAAAATCCAAAACACTTCTGGTCCCATGCATTTCAGATAAGGAATCTTCAACCTTTATTCTCTCCTTCTGTGTTATTACACACTAATTCTTTTTGTCAAATCTTGTTCTCACCTCATTCAAAATCCTAGGGACTCCCCAGTGGGATCAGGGGAGGAAAGCTATGGTAGAGTCACTGTGGCCCAACCCTTAAGAAAAGTAAAATAAAAACACAAGGATGACAGCTGTCTTGAAGAGTTGGTTGTTGGGTTTTTTTTTTTTTCATTCCCAAGTAACGACACAAAAGGCCAATATTCCATTTAGTTTATCGTCATCTAGCTACAACAGACCATAGCTACATTTAAAATGTTCCTATGATCATTAGCACAGTTTTGAAAACATTCTGTACTATTAATAATTATGCAGAGAATTTTTCTTTTTACTTTGTCAACTTGAACATTTAATCCAACCCAGCCTCCCCTCACCTCCTACATTTAGTCCCTTCCCGCTGTGAGAGAGTAACCTGGAGTAGCCAGGATTGCATTCCTTGCCCACTGCCCTCTGGCCCTGTACCACACCCTGCCACCCTGGTCCAGAGCCGCGGCTGCACCCACCGTCCTTATCCAGACTTATCCAGAATTGCATCGAGACCCATTCACCACTCACCATTTGACCAGCTGCCCCTCCACCCTCTGACTCCCCAGCGCTGTGGTCAGAAGGTCCCATCTCCACCTCTACTGACAATCCTCAGAGGTTTTTTTTTTTTTTTTTTTTTTTTTGAGACAGAGTCTCCACCCAGGCTGAATCCTCAGAGGTTCTAACGCTATTTCAAAGACCGCTGGGATCAGCTCTGAAGACTAAAGTGCATCAGTGGCTTTAGGAACTAACAGCCTCTTAGTCTCTTAGAAAGAACGTAATAAACACACAAGAAAAAGCCTTCTTGATAATAATTTGGAAGAACATTTGAAATAAACTTATCGTTACAGGCTAAGTGGGGTGGCTCATGCCTGTAATCCCAGCACTTTGGGAGGCCAAGGCAGGCGGATCACGTGAGGTCAGGAGTTCGAGACCCACCTGGCCCACGTGGCGAAACCCCGACTCTACTAAAAATATAAAAATTAGCCAGGTGTGGTGATGGGCGTCTGTAGTCCCAGCCACTCAGGAGACTGAGGCAGGAGAATCCCTTGAACCTGGGAGGTGGAGGTTGCAGTGAGCCAAGATCATGCCATTCCAGCCTGGGCGACTGAGCGAGACTCCACCTCAAAAAACAAAAAAACAAACAAAAAAAAAGCTTATCATTACTTTAAATTAATTAAATAAAATTAATATTCTTAAACCTTACACAGATATTTTAAAGTCATGGTGCACTATTTTACAAAGGAAAACTTTAGAAGTTAACTCTGATATGGAGAGGAAGTCAAAATTAAGTTTGTCGTTAGGAATTTTCTTTTCATTAGATCCCTTGTAGCCATATCAACAAATCAATAATAATATCAGGTATTGCTGAGGCATGACAGTGCATGATTGAAGTAGGACCTGGTATCATAATGGTGTCATCAATACAGGATAGCAACTGTGGTGCATCTGGGTTGAGATCACAAATCAGTATCTTGGCTCAAGCGTTGAGTTCCCAACAAGTTGCTCTGGGGCAGGCACCCTTACGTCTCTCTCCCCATCCAGAACATTGCATTTTCCACCTACCAGCCTCAAAGGGATTTTGTGGGGATTACCAATGTCTGAAAGATCTTTCATCTTTGAGATGAAAGGTCCTAATGAGTATTTTGTTGAGAAGCACTCCCACTCTGCCCTATGGGAAGGTTCCAAACTCCTCTTCTAAGGGTATCTACTGCAGGTAGGAAAATGTTACGTTTGAAGTAGAAATCGTAATAGACTTTTAATTATAAGCAAGCGGGGTAGCTCGCTGTTAAGCAGAGACCAGAGACTCTTCAATTCTTTTTTTTTTCTTCTCAGCTGCTCTGGTGGGTGTGGCCTGGAGCCTCACTTTCTTGCTCTGTAAGTCCAGGTTAGGCACCCAAAGCCACTATGAGAAGCAGGGTTTATAATGAGAGGAAATGGAACCAAAGTGGAAATATCTGTATAATATCACAATTATATAAAGTAGGACTTGGCTATGGACGCAGGCCCTTCTATAAAAGTACTCAGTGAATCTGGCCAGGCACGGTGGCTCACACCTGTAATCCCAGCACTTTGGGAGGCCGAGGCGGGTGGATCACTTGAGGTCAGGAGTTAGAGACCAGCCTGGCCAACATGGTGAAACCCCATCTCCACTAAAAATACAAAAATTAGCCAGGTGTGGTGGCACACGCCTGTAATCCCAGCTACTTGGGAGGCTGAGGCACAAGAATCGCTTGAACCCGGGAGGTGGAGGTTGCAGTGAGCCGAGATTGTGCCACTGCACTCCAGTCTGGGCAGCAGAGCGAGACTTAGTCTAAAAAAAAAAAAAAAAAAAAAAGAACTTAATCAATCTGAAGCAAGAAAAGCACCAGGCACAGCAAATAATGGATAATTCTTTATAAAGTCCTTTAATCTCTAACCTTTAATAACAGATCTTAGGCATGAAAAACACCAATTTATAAATGGTCTCTAAAAGTAAACTTTGTTCTTAATAGCAAATATGGATTTTAATTGTGCTAACTATAGACTACAGTTCATCTTTAGTAACACTTTTCATTCATCACATAATCCAAAATAAGGACGAACCCTCGATGCAACTTCTTGAGGCTCCGTCCTCTGTTGGCTTCAGTGGCTCCCTGACGACAGGTGATTCCCTGCCCCACAACTGACCCAGCCTCCTTCCTGAACTCCTCCCTCTGTGCCCACCTCCTGGGCTGGCCAGCATTTGTCAGTGCTCCAGGCTTGGTCCTCATCTCTGTGTCTTCAATATTCTCTTCCAGGCTGACTTCACGGCTTTCACTATCATTGACGACAACCAAGACTCTATTTCTTCTGAGTTCCAGACCCACTTACCCACCTACCAGATGTACCACCTCAAAAAATCAACATGACCCAAACTCGTTATTCTTTTTCAACCCTACCCTAACCCCTTATCACCTGGCCCCCCTTTCTGTGCATCCAAACCAGGATAATGGTGCCTCTGTCCAGCCGCTCTGGAAAGACAGGAACCCATCAATTACCCTAGGCTTGCTTCTCCTTTCCCTCATCATGCACACCAAAATGGCCATCAAATCCTCTGGCAGGTACTTCCTAAGTAACTCTTTAATGTATGCCTCCCTCTCCTTTGCTGCACTGAGTTCGTTCAGCCCTCATAGGCTGATCCTAGCCCGATGCCTCGGTTGTTTCCTACTGGAGGATTTCCAGTCCTTTCTCTCTCCACAAATCTCTCCTCCACACAGCAGCCAGGGGAAAATTCTAAAACACCAATTTGATCCTGTTATGCTCGAGTTTGAAACCTTTCAATGTCATCCATCCCTCACAATTAATACTTCTTTGCATGACATACAAAACTCTACTGACCTTTCCAGCTCCTGTCCTCCCAGCCACCAATGTAAATTCCTTGTAGTCCACATCATACCATGTGTTCCAAATGCCTCCATGCCTTTGGTCCTAGCTGACACGCTCTCCTCTGCTTTAGAAGCTTGACAAATTTCTCCTCATTCTTAAGAGCCACTTCAGCGGTTCATTCTAAAACGTCTTCCCTAACAACACATAACAGAGATAATAATACTTTTATTTTATTACTTTTTTTTTTTTTTTTTGACACAGAGTTTCCCTCTGTTGCCCAGCATGGAGTGCAGTGACGCGATCTCGGTTCACTGTAACCTCCACCTCCCAGGTTCAAGTGATTCTCCTGCCTCAGCCTCCCAAGTAGCTGGGATTACAGGCATCCACCACCACACCCAGCTAATTTTTGTAGTTTTTAGTAGAGATGGGGTTTCACCATGTTGGCCAGGCTAGTCTTGAACTCCTGACCTCAGGTGATCGGCCTCTGAAAGTGCTCGGATTACAGGCGTGAGCCACCGCGCCCGGCCAATAATTCTTTACTTTCAGGTGTATCACTGCACCTTGCACAGATCTCTGTTCAAGCACTTACCATGCTATGCAGGAAGTATTCACTTGCATGCCCATCTGTTTCACTAGGGCCTGAGCTCTGTTCAATGAGTCTTTGCTCAGCTCTGCCTGATGCAGGGCATAGTAAACAATATCTGGGCACTGAGTATTGAATAACAACTTAATAAACAAATACAAGTTCTGGCATATGGTCATCTTAACGTTTAATAAGTCCAGTCTAAAATGCTGCTTCCGCTTTCTTCCCATTATCCAGAAATCCCAAGTCATGTAAGTTCAGGTGTTCTCTGGATCTTGATGAAGATCCGTGGAGACGTGCTCCAAAGCTGTCTGGAAAGCCAACACATAACCATTCATTTCTGTAACACATAAACACACCTGTCTCTAAATATGTGTCTTTTTTTCTTTTTTTGACACTGAGTCTCATTTCTGTTGCCTAAGCTGGAGCGCAGTGGTGTGATCATGGCTCACTGCAACCTCTGCCTCTCGGGCACGAGCCATCCTCCCCCCTCAGCCTCCCAAGCTGCTGGGACTACAGGCATGCACAACCATGTCCCACGAATTTTTTTCATTAGTAGTAGAGACAGGGTTTTGCCATGTTGCCCAGGCTGGTCTCGACCTCTTGGGCTCAAGTGAACGACCCACTTTGACTTCCCAAAGAGCTGGGATTACAGGCGTGAGCTACCATGCCTCCCCTAAAAAATATTTCTTACAGTACATTCAAAACCCAAGCTGAGCCAATAGGGTCAGTCATGTAGACACACATAAATAAAGGAGCTCTTTGGGAACTAAGTC